>NC_000012.12:127699006-128000629 GCF_000001405.40 Homo sapiens
TACGCTAGGAGTCCCCAGCCACAGCATTTCTGCAGCACAGCGTGGAGTCCTGGGTCTGGTTATCTTACTCAGAGTGAGACGTGTCCATGGGTAGCCCTCCTATGAGTTCCCTGATGGACCGGCCAACGCTTTTTCAGAGCACCACTGCCACCTGGAGCTCTGCCTCTCCGATCTTCCTTCCTTCAGCCTGTCCTTTCGCGGGTGTCAGACCTGCATTGTGGCATGGTTGCCCCTTCCTGCTGTTTCTCCCCGTCCATCTATCACCAATGCTACGCTCAATACACCTCACACTTCTTATTCTGCCTTGGTGTTTGTTTCCTGGAGAAATTAAACTGACATGGAGGATAGACCGCATTCATCTGAAAAGGAGACCAACATCTACAACTGATGTGTGTTCTGATATGTCTTCTTATTTGTTACAATTCAGTCTGATGGGAAAAAAAAAAGATAGTCCTCCTTTCAGTGACTAATTCGTGTTGATTTATGTTCACCTCACTGGGACTCATACCTCACTTGGTCTCATATTCTTTTATCCCCTCAAAAGTATTGAAAACACGAGTTCCTCTTGAGCAGCTCTGGAATTTAAGGATGTGTTTGTGGCAGAACTGTTGGACAGGTTGTGATCATCACTTCCTACTGAACCCCAATCACTTTGTTGAATCCCAATCGCGTCTTCAGCGGCAAATCTGACCAGGAAAAGCTCATCTAGGCATGTCTGTCTTGGACATCCATAAGCATAGATGTGCTTCTTACGAACCTAGTGCCACCGCAACACAGGAACTCGGCGAGGATGTGACACTGAATCTAGGACAGCCACTTGGGGACACTGACGTAACGAGTCATAGGAAACAAGGCAACATGGCATGAGAGGAAGCATGGAAGGGAGGAAAGAGACTGGGTTTCTGATAGCGTTGTGGAGCTGCTCTGCCATCCCTGAGAGCAAATGCCAATGGGTATCTCAAGTCAAGAGCAAATGCCTTGACAGTTTAAGTCACTGTGTTTATCACAGGTGGACAAAACAGAGAAGATATACCTCTTCTCTCATTTTTATCAGTTTCATTTTTGTTTGTCTGTATGTGTTTGTTGTTGTTAACAGCATTGCCCTTTGACCTGAAACCTAAACAACAGCAACAACAAATGTGCTTCTCCTTCAGAGTCTCATGAACGTTACACCAAATTACCTCTCCCCCAATTCCTCCGCACCCCATCACCAAACACAGCAGTTACTACTTGGAACCTTAGGTTTCATAGTACACAGTTTAAAACCCACTAATCTATTTTTAAAAATAGAGTAGACTTATTTAAATACATTGTTGTTACTTCTTCAAAACAGCGATTCAAGTATTAACACAAACATTGGTGGCATCAGTAAAGTTTCACCTTTTGGTAACGTAATTTTTTTAATTGCAGTGATGCTGTCTTGAGAACATAAAAATATCAACTATGACTGACTCTTGCACCGTTATTTAGAAATGTTTTATGAGAGAGTGTGGTATTTTTTCCTCTGTACTGTTAATCCTGAACAGCTAAGCGTTGTGCTAATTGTCTGTTTATTGAATTATATTAATGCACATTGAGATGTGTCTTCCTTTCAGACACATTCCCCATTTAACTCATGAATGTTTAATATCTTTTTGGAACAGGTATCGATTTTAGCTTAACCCTTTATGACTTATTATCTAAATCGATATTTTGTAGAGAGATTTGACTATGAGATGATTATAAAATTACTATGGGCAGGGTGCGGTGGCTCATGGCTGTAATCCCAGCACTTTGAGAGGTGGAGGCAGGCGGGATCACAAAGTCAGGAATTCGAGATCAGCCTGGCCAATGTGGTGAAACTCCGTCTCTACTAAAAATACAAAAATTAGCCGGGCGTGGTGGCAGGTGCTTGTAGTCCCAGCTACTTGGGAGGCTGAGGCAGGAGAATTGCTTGAATCCAGGAGATGAAGGTTGCAGTGAGCCGAGATTGCACCACTGCACACCAGCCTGGCAACAGAACGAGACTCCATATCAAAAGAAAAAAATTAAAGTTAAAAAATTATAATAAAATAAAATGAAACAATAAAAAATATAAATAAGATTATTATGTATTTCCAGAACATGTAGAAAAACTTATAGGACTAAACGAATAGCTACATTAAATAACAACTAGGTTTTTAGTCACAAATATTTAATATATAGTAAACATCAACTAAAATGACAATCGTATGTTGAAATTATGAAAAAACATACAGATTACAAATTAATGATTACAAGTGGAATCATGGTGAGTACATGCCAGATGACTTTTATGTTCCCAACGAGGTCATTACCTTTCTAGTTCAGGTACATCATTTCAGAACAGCAGAATTTAACAAGTTATAGATCTATGACCATAGACATATGATTATCTATGTGTATATGTACACACATAAACACACATACATGCATATACACATACATATATGTATATATAAGACACATGTATATGTTCATTTTTCCTTTCTTTGTAATGTTTAATATTATTAGAGCACTTATCAAACTTTCCCCAACACATTTGGAACAGTCTTCTCTCTAATTTGTCTTGAATTTTTATATACATCTTTCAATTATATCATAAACTCTATGAGAGAAACCTCTTGTTTGTTTACTTTTTAAATATCTTTTATGAAAGAGTAGGAACCTAACCAATTACAAGGCTTCAGTCAATATCCATCACCAGATCGTGTAGAATAAGATTGCAAACACTGTTCATGCCCATCAATTATCTGTTGGACTCGATTAGCCAATTTATTAGATCTTATTATTGAGTAAGCCAGGCCATCATGGAGCTCACCGATCCATGTTGAGGAAAAATAAGGAAATCAAAGATTTACATCATTAAAAGAAAAATAGCAACTATAACAAGAGCTGTTGATGAGAGGAGGCTGAAGGGATCTACCTGCCTTGGCCTCCCAAAGTGCTGGGATTGTGGGTGTGAGACACTGCATGCAGCCTGCCTCTAATTTTTGTGGCAATCTTATTGGCATGGGACTCTGGTAAGTTCTGTGATGCACACGCACGCAAAGTGCTAGGGTGCTCTCGCTATCCAAGCACCCATTAACTAGGGACAGGGAAATAGGAGAAGCAAAGTGCATTCAGTGTTGTGCTTTCAAGGTTAATAGTAAGAATAGGTGGCACCTGTCTAGGATCAAGGGGATGTTATCATCCCCATTCTATAAAGGAGGAAAGGAGAAACAGAAGGGAAAGAAAAGCTTGAATCTTGACAACTATGCTGCAGTCTTGCTCAGGAACCTGCAGTTGTAACCACACCACGCTGCTGCTCCCAACGCCAGGTCACTTGAAGCAATCTCAGAGTGCTGGCTGGGAGTTAGGACAGAAGGGGCAGGTGGAGGACACTCAGTGAAGGGCTTTGAATGTCCTGCTAAGGAATCTGTCCTATTCTGTGGGGCACAAAGGGCCAGGGAGGCAGAAGAGATGGGTGATGGGGCCGTGTCCATTCTGAAGCCGGAATGGAGGAGGCTCACAGGTCCTGCATGCGTAACTCCTTGTTGAAAGGCTCTGCTGCTGTGGGACCTCTAGTTTAAGCTCTGACATGCAGAGAACTTGAAAGCAGTCATTTCCGTCTTCGGAAGGAAAGGCTGGACTAGCCAAAAATCAGTGACTGTTCTTGGAACATCAGAAAACTGGAGTTGAAGGAAAAACTGCCACTGGGAATCTGGGGAGACAGAAGCACCCACGGAGTCACAGCAAAGATCGGCCTGCCAGGAGCTGCAGCTGCTGGAGACGAAGACTGAAAGTAAGATTAAATGGTAATTTTGATGAGTTGCTGGACGCTGAGTTTGACATACTAAGGGATATAAAATGGATTCATATACAATTCTCAAATAAAAACATAAAAAGTGAAGCGAAAACAGCCAACAAACATAATGAGACCTTTATTACCCTAAGGATGAAACCAAATAAAGACATTTAAAGACGTTAAAAAGAGGAAAAGGACAGATCGATATCTCTCATAAACATAGGCAATAAAATCCTCAACACAATTGCAGTGAAATGAATCCAACAACGTACAAAAAGAATGTAAAACTATGAGTAATTGGGATTATTCTCTGTTTCAAAGGTTTGCTCAGCATTGGAAAATCAATCCTGCCATCCACCACATCAAGAGGCTACTTGTCACATGCTCGTATCCACTCATGCAGAAGAGGCATGTGCCAGAGTCTAATGTCCGTTTATGATAAAAACTCCTAGCAAGCCAGAACGAGAGAGGAACATCCTCAGTTTGGTCAAGAACATTGAAAAATTAAACCAAGTACATACAGCCAGCGTCATACTTAACGGTGAAAAAACTGGAAGCTTCTCTCTTAAGATCAGGAACAAGACAAATATCCTCTCTCACCACTCCTGTTCAACATCATACTGGAAGTTCTAACTGGTGCAGTAAGACAGGAGGTAAAAGTAAAATGTATCCAGATAGGAAAGGAAGAAATAAAACTGTCTGTATTCACAGACAGTTAAAAACATCCCAATCAACAGTTAAACTCTGTTAAAAAAAAAAAATCCCAATCAACAGTAAAACTCTTTTTTATTATTTTATTTTATTTGAGACGGAGTCTCGCTCTGTCGGCCAGGCTGGAGTGCAGTGGCGCGATCTGGGCTCACTGCAAGCTCCTCCTACTGGGTTCACACCATTCTCCTTCCTCAGCCTCCCGAGTAGCTGGAACTACAGGCACCCTCCACTACGCCTGGCTAATTTTTTTGTATTTTTAGTAGAGATGGGGTTTCACTGTGTTAGTCAGGATGGTCTCGATCTCCTGACCTTGTGATCCACCTGCCTCAGCCTCCCAAAGTGCTGGAATTACAGGCATGAGCCACCGTGCCCGGCCCAGTAAAACTCTTTAAATAAAAAAAAAAATCAAATAGAAATATAATGTATTAAAAAAATAAAGCATTTTGAATAAATAACAAAGGACCTATATTTTGGAAACTATAAAACTTTCTTTAATGATCTAAATAAATGTAAAAGTATTCTCTTCTCATAAATTGAAAATTGAATATTAAAATGCAATTTTTTCAACTTGATCTATAGATACAATGCATTCCCAATCAAATTCCCAACAGAAATTTTGTAGATATTGGAAACTGATTCTAAAGATTATAGGAAAAGGCAAAATGCATAGAATAGGTAAAAATACAGAAGGAGGGGGAGGAAGAGGAGGAGGAAGAAGCAGAAGAAACAAGAAGGAGGAGGAGGAAGAGGAAGCAGAAGAAACAAGAAGGAGGAGGAGGAAGAGGAAGCAGAAGAAACAAGGAGGAGGAGGAGGAAGAAGAAGAGGAGGAAGGAGGGAAAAGAGAAGGAGGAAGAGGAAGAGGAAGAAGAAGAGGAGGAGGAGGAAGGATGGAAGAGGAGGAGGAGGGAGGAGGGGGAGGAGGGAGGAAGAGGAGAAGGAGATTGGAAGACTCATACCACTTGATATCAAAAATTTATGTAAGACTACAGTAATCAATACAGCGTGATATTAGAGAAAAAATAGATACACATAGATCAATGTACCAAAGCAGATAGATAATAAATAGAGCAAGTCAAATATAGTCAACTGATCTTTGACAAAGGTACAAAACAACTCAATGTAAAATTGACAGTCTTTTCAATGAATGGTACTGGTAAATTGGATGTTCATATATATACAACCCTAGCTATAACACAAAAAGCTAGACCTATGAAGTAGAAAGATTAAGTTGGACTTTGTAAAATTACAAATTCATGTTCTGAGAAAGACACTGTAAAGAAAATGAAAAGACACGCCACAGGCTAAGAGAAAAGATTTGCAAAGCTCATACCTGACAAAGCACTTGTACCCAAAATATACAAAGAAGTCTTAAAACTCAACATGAGAAAATAAACAACTCAGTTTAAAAATGGGTAAAAGATCTGAAGAGATTCCTCACCAAAAAAGATAGACAGATGGAAAATAAGCATATGAAAAAATATTCAATGTTATATTTCATTAGGGAATTGTAAGTTAGACTTTTGTAAATGAAATTACAGTGAGATACCTCTGCTAATGTCTTAGAATGGCTACGGTCCAAAACACCGACAACACCAAGTGCTGTCGAGGCCATTGAGCAGCAAGAGCTGGCATTCACTGCTGGTGGAAATAATGATACGGCCAATATGGAAGACAATTTGGTAATGTACAATGCTAAGCATGCATGTGTCACATGATCCTACAGTCACACTAGTAGGAATTTGCTCGAATGAGCTGAAAACTTAGGTCCACACAAGAAACTTCACAGGAATGTCTATAGCAGCTTTATTTACAACTGAAGCCACCAACATGTCCTTCAGTAGCTGAGCAGATACACACGCTGTGGTATATGCAGACAATGGAATATTATTTTTGTAATAGTCCCAAACTAATAACAGTGTAGAGGTCTTTGAATGGGGTACATCCATACCATCGGATGCAACTCAACAATAAACCAGAAGGAACTGTTGCTCCGTGCAACAATGCAGATGAGTCTCCAGGTCATCATGCAGGGTTAAAATAGCCAATCCCACTGGTGACATAGTGTATGATTCCATTCAGATAACACTTTTTCAACGAAAAATCTACAGAAATGGAGGGCAGATGAGCGTTTGCCAGGGGCTAGAGACAGCTGCTGCAGGCGTGGGGGTGAATGCAGTTATAAAAGGGCAACAGGAGTGATCCTGGGTGATGCTGCTGTGCAGTTCCCCTGAATGAGGTAGCAAATGCATGAACCTACACGTGATAAAACTGATAGGACTAATCATACACACCAAACACCACACATACATACACCTGCAAATACAAACAAAACAGGAAATCTGAATGAGATTGGTGGAGTGTATCAATGTCAATTTCTTTAATGTGATATCAATTATAATTTTGCAAAATGTTACCATTGGGAGAAAGTGCGTAAAGTGTACACATTATCTCTGTATGTTATATTTTACAACTGTATGTAAATTGACAATAGCCTCAATAAGAATTTGAACTAATAAGGAAGAATTTAAATAGGTATTGATCCAAAAAATCTGAAAGAAAAGTCTGTGAGTGGATTCCTTGACAGGTCAAAAATGGCTTTGTTTTCTATAAACAGGAAACACCTCCTCCCCCTTCCCCTCCCCGGGTTCCTTCTGTGATTTCTGTGTGTGTGTGTGTGTGTGTGTGTGTGTGTGTGTGTGTGTGTGTGTATGTGTGTGGTGTGTGTGTGTGTGTGTCTTCACGGGTTTCTGTTTCTTTGCTAATAATTTTCCCCTCTGACTCTGACTGACATGTAGAGCAGGGTGAGACCGTAGAGACCAACAAGTTCATTTCTCTGCTTTGCGGCGGGAACACCTCCCCACAGTCTCCTGGGATAGAGCCCACACCAGACAGACTGAGCTCTCCTGATTTTCAACAGTAACTATTTTTCTGCCTCATTTTTTCAGCCTCTGCTTTGTATCTCCTCACTTGCATCCTTAATTGACCATAATATAGAGCTGAAAGAAAAGACTGAATTATTTATCACTATAGTAATGAATAGTTTCATATTCCTTGTCTTTAAACATATAAACAGAGGAATGGAATAGTTCATATTTCTCTAAGACAAGTACTCTGAATCAATTGCTTTTTATTTATAAAACCTATAGTGTTTCTCTCTCATAGGTAATGATCCTAGAAGAAGAAAAAATAGATTTCTTATGGCATCAGTAAGCATTCAATCTAGGTACTCTCTTGAAAATATTACAATTACTGTTACTACTCACCGTTTATAATAAGAGTGAACAAGTTCAACAAAACTGCTCTGGGCAGTTTGACGACAGCTCAAGAGACTGACTCTCTTTGTTTCCCCAAATTGGATATATAGTAGATTTTACCAAATATTTGCTCAATTTTAAATCAATGAACGCAATTTTGCTTCGTTGAACCACTTATTTTGGGAAAATGTCACAGTTCCAAGCTGAGTTTTACTAGTGAAATTTGCAAGTAATTATTTATAATGATATGCAAATTATCATCAGGCAATTCAGTAAAAAGATTAAAGATGGAGTGGCAATATTAAAACTCCAGGAATTAACTGCTGTGAAAAAAGAAATGATTTTTAAAAATAATTTGAGCTATTTGTAAAAATTGAAATTTCTTTTTTGGTTACTGATTTTGAAAAAGTTAAAATACGAAATGAATGTAAGATACTTGAACGCCAATAAAAACCCCTTCAGGAAATTATCCTTAACTTATAGCCCAGTTTCATTGATAAAACCTTTAAAACACTAGAGATTTGAGCAAAGCAGTCAAAAATGTGTGTATTAGACTCCAGCCCCATAACATGTCTGAAATTGAAAGGATTTCAGAGTGCAGTGGTTAAGCTGGCTGACTCTGAGGATAGACATCACGGAGTGGGAGAACAGGGTAATTTGTGGTGTATTTGGGGGAATTATTGAACCTTCCTAAGCCTCCATTTCCCAGTCTACAAAATGAGACTGTTTAATATGTAACTTCCTCTTGGGAATTTCATAAAGATTAAATGCAACACCATAATTAAACGTCTTAGTATATTGTCTGGTTCATAATAAGAAAGAAATGTTTGGTAATATAAACAGGTGTTATAGTTACTATTTTTGAAGGAGATAATGAAATAAATCAATACTTATATGTGATAAATAAAACTTTATGTTTACCATGATAAAAATATATAGTGCAAATGAACGTAAAGGAGAACAATACATCTGAAATTTTATTTTATTTTATTTTATTTTTCTGAGGCAAGATCTTGCTCTTCACCCAGGCTGGAGTGTAGTGGCGCAGTCATGGCTCACTGCAGCCTCAACCTCCTGGGGCTCATGCAATCCTCCTGCCTCAACCTCCGGGTAGCTGAGACTGCAGGCACATGTCACCATGACCAGCTAATGTTTGTATTTTTTGTAGAGACAGGGGTCTCACTATGTTGCCCAGGCTGGTCTCGAGCTCCTGAGCTCAAGGAATCTGCCCGCCTCAGCCTCCCAAAGTGTTGAGATCACAGGCATGAGTTATTGCACTGCGCCCAGCTAAAAAATCCTTTACTATACCATAGGTAAAGAATTGTCTCCACACATAGTCATTGTGTGTGTTTCTGTGTGTGTGTGTGTGTGTGCACACGCGTGCGCACAGTCTTCCAGAGTTATCCAGTGCATATCCAAGTGTATTTCACCCTTTTTTTTTTTTTTTTTCAGATGGAGTCTCACTCTGTAGCCCAGGCTGGAGTGCAATGGCACGATCCTGGCTCACTGCAACCTCTGCCTCCGGGGTTCAAGTGATTCTCCTGCCTCAGCCTTCCGAGTAGCTGGGATTACAGGTGCCCAACACCTCGCCCAGCTAATTTTTTTCTGTATTTTTTGGTAGAGACAGGGTTTCACCATTTGGCCACGCTGGTCTTGAACTCCTGACCTCAGGTGGTCTGCCCGCCTGTGTATTTCATCCTTTAAGAAATACAAATGGAAGCAGACAATACCCTTAGCTCTGATCCTTTCTGTTGCTCAGTGATAAATCCTCGAGATTGTTCTATATCAACACATAGAGATCTACAGCCATGGATTTCCCGAATCTCGCTCACCATGTTTTCCTCTCCAGGGGAAAAGAGAAGTCATTTCCACGTTGACACTGCAGGTCATGACCTTTCCTTTCTGCTAATTACATGACAGCGTAGTGTAATAGGACATGGGCAGATAAGGCAATTTGACATTTAGGTAATCATTCTTTATAATTATTCAAGCTAGACCTACAAAAACCAGATAAGGAAAGGCATCTAGCCTCCTGAAATTCTAATCAAAATAATGGCAGGTATTTTTAATCAAGCAGTTGTGAAATGTTTGGTGGAAACATACTTCATTTTTCAGAACTATTGGGAAGGTCATTTCTCTTTCTGGAATCTCACGCTGTTTGCTAGACCTAATGTCATCATTTCTAAAAGGCAGCTGGATAGAGTGAAATTGTTGTAGAAAGTGAATTTTCTCAGCAGTAAATCTACTAATAATGAAATTTAAACTCCTGTGCATATTCTACAGCCAGCGAGTGTAAATCTGGTAGGCATCTTCCGCCCTTCGCATTCAAACCTTCTGCAATACAGGAAGTAAGAAACTCCTTTAAAAATCTGCTCTCAAGTATGATCTTCACTCCCCTTTTCCTACCAAGAGGGTGATCACAGTTACTGATTGTGGACCATGGGGTCTCCATACTCGGGCCTTACCTAAGCTGAGTGGTAACTGTCTACACTCACTCCACACATGGCTTCCAATCCATGCACCTGGATCTGAAGTTTCCACTGCAGCATGAAATTTGCATTATCTCCTCGCTTTCAGAATTTGGCCAGAAGACTGTTTTTTTCAGTCAGGACAAAAATACTACGTGGGAGAGGAAAGAGTGGTTTTTGCCTTCTCCTATTCACCCTGTTGATGAGGGAGGAATTTCCACACTAAGGCCATGGAAAGACTCAACACTTGCCCCCTGGGCCTGGACAGAGGAGAGTAATGGTAGCTGATCACTCACACAGGCTTACAGCCTGGAAGAAGAGCACAGCATACGCCATGTACGGGGCCACACAGAGGGTGCACACAGGAGAAGAGTGAACATGCAGGGGCTATGGGAAGCAGGCTTTGTAGGAAGGAAAGCTTGAAGTAGGGAATTAGTCTGTTCTCACATTGCTAGTAAAGACATACTCGAGACTGGGTAATTTATAAAGGAAAGAGGTTTAATAGACTCACAGTTCCACATGGCTGGGGAGGCCTCACAGTCATGGTGGAAGGCAAATAAGGAGCAAAGTCACATCTTACATGGCAGCAGGCAAGAGAGCTTATGCAGGGAAACTCCCCTTTAAAAAAACCACCAGATCTCATGAGACTTATTCACTATCATGAGAACTGCACAGAAAAACCCACCCCCATGATTCAATTACCTCCCACCGAGTCCCTCCCACGACACATGGGGATTATGGGAGCTACAATTCAAGATGAGATTTGGGTGGAGACACAGTCAAACCATACGAAGTAGCTTCTGGTTCCCAGGGGCAGATTCAGTCAGCTCGTTATTAAATAATTCTGCAGGGTGGCTGGGAACTGAGATGCGATACTCAGGATTAGACAGGGCCTGTGCCCAGTACCCGTGATGAGGAGGGCTCTCTGACTAGGGGACTTAACTGTGGGAGCGGATTGGTGAGGAGAACTGGCAGCTGGGCCATCTGAATCCCTCCCAGCCTCCCCAGGTGTGAAGGAAACCATACAGGTAGGCTTACCTTACACGGTAACAGTGGACCCATGGGACAGCTTTGATTTTTTGTTTGTTTATTTTCTGTTTTTGTTTTTGAGATAGAGTCTCACTCTGTTGCCAGGCTGGAGTGCAGGGGCACAATCTTGGCTCACTGCAACCTCTGCCTCCCGGGTTCAAGTTATTCTCCTGCCTCAGCCTCCCAAGTAGCTGGGACTACAAGCAAGCACCACCATGTCCAGCTAATTTTTGTATTTTCAGTAAAGACAGGGTTTCACCGTGTTGGCCAGGATGGTCTCGATCTGTTAACCTAGTGATCCCCTGGCTTCAGCCTCCCAAAGTGCTGGGATTACAGGCATGAGCCACTGCGCCCGGCCGGGACAGTGTTTTTATATTTTTTGTCTGTTTGTTTTGCTGTTTCCTCTTTACTGGGTGACCCATCGAGTGACAGACCTTAAGCGGCACTGGAAGGACTCATGCCAGTAATTTTTGCTGACAGCAGTTCTAGGAGCCAGGGAGCCACAGCTCACATCCCAGGTGATGGAAGGGACCTCATCGACCTTCCCTCTCAGTGCTTCTGTCTATGGACATCCTTCCTTTACACTCTGACAGCACGTCTGTAAACACTACCCAGCTTTCAAAGAGGTGGGTATCCATAGCATGTTCTCACTTTTGTTTAAATACAAAGTTTACGAGTATGGAGTTCTCTAGTTGCATCATCACACATCCCAGCTGTAAAGAGATGCGTGACCATTTGGAGCATTCCCAGATGTCTGTGAAATAAACTATCTTTCGCTCTTTGAAAATGCATCTTGATGGACAGCTACACTATGACCTAGCAGGCTGGAGGGGAAAATGGAACAAAAAAGTTTTGTTCTTCCAGATGCAGTTAAAGTATCATCCCTAGTGATAGCGATGATCCTGAGGAATCACATATTCTTCTATGCTGGAGAAAGTGGCATGAAGTCATTTGTATTGGGAGCTTCCATTTGGCAGGGTTGTGTGCCTGACGATCATTTCCAGGGGCAGCTTTCAAAGACGGGGAGAGAAGAGCCAAGGCCAAAACTGCAGGGGTGAGCGCCTCACTACCGCCTCCCTGTGGACGGGAATGGACTCTGCAGAGAATTTACTGTAGAACGAGCCCCATAGTCGGCTTCTAAACTTGTCCTTTAAATAATAAAGTCACTATCTTCCTCTATTAGGTACCACTTCCATTATTATTTACTTAATATATTTTCTTTAAATTGACTCATTTTTCAAAGATATGTCTATTTTAAAGTGATAGTGTATGTCACGACTACGTGTGAAAGCTAATATCAAGTACTGCAGATTAAGTTACCAATAAGTGAAAATATGATCAAAACTATGTTGTTACAATCCAGCCAAATAGTAGTTTTTTCCTGTCGACAAACTAACAAATGTTAGGAAGGAGTTAAAAGTCTACCAACACCAACCTGATGCATGTCTTTAAAGGGATCATACATTATTCCATATTGAAATGAGCCATTCTAATGTTCAGCTTTTAGCTGATAGAATCTACGAGTAGGACAGAAATTCTATAACTGTTATGAAAATGTAAGATGTCCCAAACTTAGGCCGGGTGAGGTGGCTCATGCCTGTCACTCCCGCACTTTGGGGGGCTGAGGCAGGAGGATTGCTTGAGCCCAGAAGTTCAAAACCAGCCTAGGCAACATAGCAAGACCCTGTCTCTACAAGAAAAATTTTTAAAAAGCTGGACGTGGTGGCACACAGCTGTAGTATCAGCTACTCATGAGGCTGAGGTAGGAGGATCGCAGGAGCCCAGAAGTTCAAGGCTTCGGTGAACCATGATCACGCCACTGCACTCCAGCCTGGGTGACAGAACGAGATCTTATCCAAAAAATAAAAATTAAAAAAAAAAAGCTATTCCAAACTTAGATGTCTGTACCTAGCCTGAGTGAGGAAATATGTCACATCTGGGAGCAGTGGGGTCTGTGGTAGAATGGAGAGCAGGAGCCCTTTCCACAGGCTGTGAACTGGTAGAAGATCAATCAGTCTGCCTGGTGCCTCTGTCCTCCGCCATAAAGGTGGGGTTACCACTGAAATCAAGTTGCAAATTCCAATGCTCCATTCTCAGTGAAATCATCCTGTAAGTAAGGAGTCATAATAGCTGCCTATTATTATTATATTACTATATTATTATTATATATTACTTATGAAGGATCAGGCTTTAGATTTAACACAGTAGGCTTGGAATGCAGCACAGGGGTAGATTCCTTTTTAGTACCACTTGAGAATGCCATTAATATGTAAACTTAAGTCTGGGTGTGTGCCTGCAATTCTTTGGGGGCACTCAGTATTGAAGAACTAAAGGGAAAGTTGTAAAGATCTAAGGGAATCATTTGCTCAGCCAAAGTCAAAATTGTACCACAAGTTTTTTTGGTAAAATGCATGGTCAGAGCTATTTAATTAATGTGTCAAAAAAAAGCAGGGGGCCAAGGCATTCACTGGAAATAAATATCCGTTCTGGTTCTAGTGAAAAGCAGCTTGAGTCACAGCTTGGCAGGGAGATGGATTTATTTCTGTCCCTCTCAACCTCTAAGCTACCTGTAGCTCTCCGTGCATCTCTCTTTCTCTCTCTCTGAATAGATAAATATACAGATAGACAGCTATAGAGATATGAATGTACAGTATGTGTACATATACACACACATATAGGTATGAATATATATAGGTGTATGTATAGATATGCATGTATATATACACACACGCACATATATATACATATATATACAGAGAGAGAGGAGTGTGTGTGTATGTGTGTGTGTGTGTGTGTGTGTGTGTGTGTGTGTGTGTGTATTTGGTGGGGGCATACCTATAAAACATTGATCTTAAAGTGTAGCTTAGGCTGGGCACAGTGGCTCATGCCTGTAATCCCAGCACTGTGCGGGGGCCAACGTGGGCGGATCACGAGGTCAGGAGATGGAGACCATTCTAGCCAACAGGGTGAAACCTCGTCTCTACTAAAATACCAAAAAAAAAAAAAATTAGCTGGGTGTGGTGGCGTGTACCTGTACTCCCAGCTGCTTGGGAGGCTGAGGCAGTGGAATCGCTTGAATCCAGGAGGTGGAGATTTCAGTGAGCTGAGATCGCACCACTGTACTCCAGCCTGGCAACAGAGCGAGACTCTGTCAAAAACAAAAACAAAAACAAAAAAACCTGTAGCTTAGTCAGTTTTTTAAGGCCACTTTGAGAATTAATCCATGCGATTACACTTGGGGCTTTCTGAAACTTAGATTTCTCATCTATGAACTGGGAATAAGTCCATCACATAGATAATATGACAGCTAATTGATAATATAAAGGTGTTTAGTACACTCACACATAGGAAGTAATCAATAAATATCCCACCATGTAAACAAGGAGTCAGCATGTGTCCTGAAAGATGCTTTTCCCTGACATTTCTCCTACTAGCTCCCTTGTGGGTGTTGACTTGAAAACTCAATACCAGTCACTCTGCTCTGGGCCCCAGGAGGCTGACCTCAGTGGACTGTCATATCTGCCCTGTTTTGTCCTTCAACCCCTGGTTGGGTTCAGTGGGCTGGTAAATTATTGAGATAATAATAAGTTGGATCAAGTTGGCAACAGTCATCGGAAGCACATAGCCGTGCCCACATATAATTGTTCTTTTTACCAAGCTACATAAAAAAGGAGAAAGTAGGAGAAGCTGACAGTGGGGGACCCACCTCCTACCAGGTAGACACTTTCTCCATAAATGTTTCATTATTTCTCAACCTACCCAATGACTTTTTTTTTTTTTTTACAAATGAGAAATCTGAGGTTCAGAGATGTTAAGACGCTTGCCCAAATGTACAAAGAGTATTAGTGGAGCCAACATCCAAATTCAGCCGTATTTGACTTGCAACACCACAACCTTTCCAATGTGCAAATTTCAGTAGCCTTTGCACCACGAAGTAAGAAGTAGTTGGAGGTGCATCAGTTAAACTGTCCATTGTGAGAATTCATGGATTATCATTTTTTATTTTTAATTTTTTATTGTCTGTACATTTATGTGCATTTTGTACATTTTTTGTATATTTCGTACATTAATCATGTTTAAGAATGGAAAGACTCAAGCAGAATCTCTTTTTGTTTGTTTGTTTGTTTGTTTGTTTGTTTTTTGAGATGGAGTCTCACTCTGTCACCCAGGCAGGAGTGCACTGGCGCGATCTTGGCTCACTGCAAGCTCCGCCCCCCAGGTTCAAGCAATTCTCCTGCCTCAGCCTCCCAAGTAGCTGGGATTATAGGTACGTGCCACTGAGTCCAGCTAATTTTTGTATTTTTAGTAGAGATAGGGTTTCACCATGCTGGCCAGGCTGGTCTCAAACTCCTGACCTCGTGATCTGCCCGCCTCGGCCTCCCAAAGTCCTGGGATTACAGGCGTGAGCCACAGCACCAGGACGTCAAGCAGAATCTAACTTGTCACTTGCTTATGTCAGCAGCATTCCATGGTTGAAAGGGTGATCAGCATGGTGATGGTGATGATGATGATCTTGATGATACACAGAAAATACTGATGAGTGCCTCTATGTGACGAGTACTGCTCTGTGCATTCTGCAAGGGCCACTTTCTTGAACCCTCATAATAACTTTTTTTGAGGGCATATATACTACCAGTCTCCATATTTTACAGTGAATGAGCTGAGGAAACAGAATTTTATTAACTCATCCAAGGTCAACCAGCAGTAAGACTCAAACACAGTTTTACCTTATTCTGTGTATACTACCAGTCTCCACATTTTACAGAGTGAGCTGAGAAAACAGAAGTTTATTAACTTATCCAAGGTCAACCAGCAGTAAGACTCAAACACAGTTTTACTTTATTCTGTGTATACTACCAGTCTCCACATTTTACAGAGTGAGCTGAGAAAACAGAAGTTTATTAACTTATCCAAGGTCAACCAGCAGTAAGACTGAAACACAGTGTTACCTTATTCTAGAATTGTCTTACTTAACTGTAACCTATTCATGTTTTTAGCAAAGCTGGGTTGGGGTAGAATTCTCAGAAATGTCTTTCTTTTGATTACGTTCGTAGTTCTTGCCCATATTTGGGTCTATTACAAGCATGCATGACATTTTTGGGCATAAAATTTCAAAGAACAGACAGTGATAACTTAATTCTATTGCATGATGCACAACATTTTTAAAGTAAATAAAATTAAAATTCACTTTTAAAATATGTGTAATTCCCAGCCAGGTGTGGTGGCTCACACCTGTAACCCAGCACTTTGGGAGGCCAAGGCGGGCAGATCACCTGAGGTCAGGAGTTTGAGACTAGCCTGGTCAACATGGTGAAACCCCATCTCTACTAGAAATACAAAAATTCGCTGAGCATGGTGGCGCGTGCCTATAATCCCAGCTACTTGGGAGGCTGAGGTGGCAGAATCGCTTGAACCCGGGAGGTGGAGGTTATAGTGACCCAAGATCGCACCACTGCACTCCAGCCTGAGTGACAGAGCAAGACTCAGTCTCAAAAAGAAAAAAAATGTGTAATTCCCAAGATTATTGAAAACAAACTAGAGTAAAGCAAAAAGAAAACTAGAGAGTAAAAGATAGATTGAATGCTTGTAACAGCACTGGATCAAAAAGAACTGGGCTGGTCCCCAGGACAGCTTTTGCTACCTCCCCACTCTGCCTTTAAGAAATGCAAATCCAGAAAATGTTAGCACCTCAGTTCTTTTATTTGTAAATGAATGTACCTGCCTAACCCACTTTACAAAGTTATTAGGAGTGTAAGACCAAAGACACAAGATATGAATGCACTCATTGGTAAGAAAAAAAAAAAAAAGAAGTTGGATAGTAAAATTCAAACACAAAATTTTAATAGGCTTTGACACGTTGCAGTGAAAAAGGAACGTGTACAAAACCCAGGAGCTCATGAAAGCAGAGAAACAGGACTTTAGTGTTAGAATGGCAGGACAAGGCAGCAGAACCAGGTTCCAATTAATGAGAGCTGCTGCTTCTGCTTAGCTGAAATCAAACTACCTAAGTATGCAGAGAAGGAGAATAGAAAGTAAATTTTGGAATGAGGCCAGTATTTAAATCCTAGCCCTGGCATAGAGGATACCTGCTTGTTCAGACCAGATGTCTCAGCAGGACAAAGAATCTCTAATCCTTAGTCACGGGCTCAGAACCAGAATAGCGGTCCTGCAAGAGCTGAGATTGGGTTTCTGCCATTCTTGAGGAATGGGAGTTCAGAAGGAAACAAAGACAAGATGTACAACTAAAAATAAAATCACTTTGGGAATTTTTCCTCAATCTGGGTGTGATAGCTGAGATCCACACCCACCTTATTACGAAGGTCTTGATGTGCCATCCAATGTTCTTGATGTGATTTGATGACATGAGTTTTCTTAAGTATCTGAAGTCATGTGTCCTTGGTTTCTGTGTCATGGTGCCTCAAGCTCTAGAGGAAATGAATTGGTAATTTTTAGCAGGAGAAAAAATGTGTCTTTCAACAAAATAAAAAAGAATCTGCATAGAACTAAATTCTTTCTTTCATCGTCTTTTTTCTTTATTTCTGGTGAGCCATTTAGAAAGTATTTTGTGATCGCCTTAAGCCCCAATCCCCTAGCACTTCTGTGTGAAGCATACTCCAAGGTAGGGTCAAGTGAGGCAAAGATAACTGTGTTTTATTGTGATTATGATTGCTGCTTCCATAAAGCCAAACAAAGCACCCCGTTCTTTATAATTATAGTATGGTCATAAAAGAGCATCTTAAATGAAGAAAACACTGTCACCCATTTAAACTCAGATGACATTTTATGTTGGGAATTAGCATCACCAGGATTTATCTCAAATCAAACTATAAAAGAATCAAACATTCAAAGAATAAACCCAATCATTAATCTGTGGAGATCCTTTGTTCTTCTTCTTTTCCTGAAAAAAATGTTTAGTTTGAGTTGAGATGAGAAAAGAAGAGAAATAGAAAGCCATCGGTATTTGCACCCTCAATCCATCACACAGGAGACGTTTCAGGGAAGAAGATCGTTGTCAAGGATGCAGTAACAGTAGATTTAAGTGTGGAGTGTGGCTTCTAATTGACTGGAAGGGCATACTCCTGGCTGAAATGTTGACAGCCAGAAGCAGAGCATATTTTCTCTCTTTTCTTTTCCTCTGCCATAGCCACCAGCAGTTTCCATGTGGGGCTGCACCATCAGCTTAGGCCCCTGAGTGACGTGGCGAGCAGACAGCAGATGACCCATAAGGACCCACAGTGTGATCAGTGAATAAATCTCGGAGGTTTACGTCACTGAAATTCTGGGCTTGTTTGTTGCCACATCATTACTTAGTCACTATTTCTCCAACTTAAACATGCATAAGAATCATTTGAGGGATTACTAAAATCCATATCTCTGGGCTCAACTCCCCAACATTGCAGTATAGTAGGTCTTGTGTTGGGGTCCAAAATTTGCATTTCTAACAGGATCCCATGCAATGCTGATGGTGCTGGTCATCTGAATTCTCTTTGAAAAGCACTTACTATTCTATTCTGATTGAGACATGTCCCAAATTAGACACCCAGTTAATTGAAGCTTTTCTCATTACTGCCATCCTTATTATCACCATCATTATCATCTCCTTCATCACCTGTGATCTCTATTTCTAGATGGAACCATCAGGGACATTGAAATGACTTATCTCCTTGATTTGCAAAAAAACAAATATTAGTTTAGCATTAACTTTTCTCTCCACTAATTTCAAAGCGGTCTCATAACCTGAATAAGAGACCTGCTGATGTGAAGGAAATAATACTAAGAGTAGACTATGCTTAGTATTATTACTCAACTTCTGTCAATGTCCTTTGAATAGTAATTAATTTTAATCCCAGAAGAAGTGAGAACTGCATTTCAGGAAGAGAAGCAGAAAAGCAAATAACCAATTAGTATCAAAAATACATCTAAAAATAACACTAAAAATACATCTAAAAATATTGAGTTAATGAGTCCTTAATCTAGAAATTAGAGGACATTATTTTAAGATAATTGATTTGCCCAGATTTTATTCATAAAGAAAAAGGTATAAACACATTCAGTGAAAATATCAAACAATGCTCCTGGAAAACTAAGGAAAGCTGAGAACCCAAGAGAATTCTGAGGAGTGAAGATCATCCAAGAGCATTTAACACATAAAATATAAACACAGCAACTCTCTCCCCCACTGTATTCATCCGTTCTCACTCTGCTATGAAGAAATACCCGAGACTGGGTAATTTATAAAGAAAAGAGGTTTGATTGACTCACAGTTCCACATGGCTGGGGAGGCCTCAGGAAACTTACAATCATGGCGGAAGGCACGTCTTCACAGGGTGGCAGGAGAGAGAATTAGAGCCAAACGAAGGGGGAAGCCCCTTATGAAACCATCAGAGGCCGGGCACAGTGGCTCATGCCTGTAATCCCAGCACTTTGGGAGGCCGAGGCGGGCGGATCATGAGGTCAGGAGATCGAGACCATCCTGGCCAATATGGTGAAACCCCAGACGTGGTGGCACACACCTGTAATCCCAGCTACTCGGGAGGCTGAGGCAGGAGAATCGTTTGAACCAGGGAGTCAGAGGTTGCAGTAAGCTGAGATGGCACCACTGCACTCCAGCCTGGGTGACAAAAACAAAACAAAACAAAACAAAACAATAAAAACACACACACACACACATCAGGTCTTGTGAGAACTCACTCACTGTCATGAGAAAAGCATGGGGGAAACTGCCCCCATGATTCGATTACCCCATGAAACTGGGTGCCTCCAAGGACATGAGAGGATTATGGGAACTACAATTCAAGATGAGATTTGGGTGGGGACACAGCCAAACCATAGCAACCACCTTTTTTCTCTGCAATAGGCCTCCCTGTTCCCACATCTTCATTAAGACAGCTGCCTCTAGGGGTTGCAGTAAGAACCTCATTGCCAGATTCGCTGATTCCCTCAATGTCTCTGCAGCAATCAGAATTTCCTGGGCATTTTCACTTGAGTTTTCCCACACCAGGATTCCAAGGATTAGAGGTTTGAATGGCTGTAGCTGTGAAAAGTGGGAAGGAAGAATAAAGTATATTATTTGGCTCTGAATTGCCCATATTTTCACATTAGTTTTCTAGCATTGTTTTATACATAAACAAACACACTACCATAATAAAATATATTAACCTTTAGTAGAGTAGTATTTCTTATACCTATAAAGCTGTTACTAAATCAATAATGTATCTACTTTCTATTACCCTTCTCTGCAGCTAAGAATCCTGGAAATCAGCTAATATTCATTGACACAGGGGATGGTACACAATCATTCAGCAATTCTCAGATAAGAGTACTTTATTCTGCATTTCATGGGAAAAGGTTCTGGGGCCCAAAGTGTTGATTAACTTTTCCAGACTCACATGTCTAATGGATCACGGAGACAAAGGCATTGCAGAGCTCAAAGTGAGGCATGGGCCTGAGTTTCCTGACAGGTTGGTTTCACTCCACATCTGAGATTCCCATGCAACATTTGCTCCACTGCATGGACCAGCTGATCCACATATCCTAAGAGGGCTTTCTCAGTGACAGAATCAGCAAACCCTGAAGATCTGAAAGTCTGCCTTCAGAACTGACCTGTGTGTGACCAGGCATGGTGGCTCACACCTGTAATCCCAGCACTTTGGGAGGCTGAGGTGGGTGGATCACTTAAGGTCAGGAATTCAAGACCAGCCTGGCCATCATGGTGAAATCCCAACTCTACTAAAAATACAAAAATTAGCTGGGCCTGGTGGCCCGCACCTGTAATCCCAGCTACTCAGGAGGCTGAGGCAGGAGAATCACTTGAACCTGGGAGGTAGAGGTTGCAGTGAGCGGAGGTCGCACCACTGCACTCCAGCCTGGGCAATACAGCGAGATTGTGTCTCAAAAATAAAAAAATAAAAAGAACTGACCTGTGTGCAGCCCACATTCTGTGCTCTGTCTACAAACCAGGTCCTTTTCTATAATTAGCTTTTTAACCAACGATTGGAAAAGAACCAGTGTTCCTCAAAATTTTGAGAAAGGTAAACAAACCTTAAATAATAGATGTATTAGTTTAATTAGTTAATTCTTCTTCATGTTCAATTGGGAAGCTAGGAAGCCAAATAGAGCTAATTGTAAATGTGTGTTTGACAAATAAAAGGCTGAGTGGTTAGTTAATTAAAATACCCAAGGACGAGCATTGCCAGAGCGTTGCGCTCCTTGTGAAGGAAGCGGGAGGAAGCGTTGGGAGTGGGCAGTGCAGCCTCTGGGCTGCCAGGAACAAGGCGGCTGCGTGGACGCACCATGGGAAGCTCTGCAGGGTTCTCTTGTGCACACACGGTGATGACGACTGATCAGAGTGGCAGAACCTCGTGTCCCAAAAGTCCTGCAATGTCTCAGCTAGCAGGGGCACCCAGTACCATCTCCAGCAGCTCCACTGTTTCAGCTTGGGGTCGAAGGCTTAGAGAGGAAGCATGAACTCCCAAGGTCACCTGAGGACTCTGTGGCAAAGACAGACACAGAACCTAGGGTCAAGGGCTCCACAACCAGTTCCCCATCCATTGGTATTTATTAAGCATTTATTATGCACTTAGTATCTTGCAATGTTTCACATGAGGAAACTTGGTTGTTTCCCTTAGGAAACAATTACTTATTCATTTATTTAGCAAGTACTTATTTAACTTCTATGTGTGAAGTGTCAAACAGCAGAAAGCCAGACTCTTGTTTAAAATGTGAGACATAATTTGGGCTGGGTACAGTGGCTCATGCCTGTAATCCCAGCATTTTCGGAGGCCGAGGCGGGTGGATCACCAGAGGTCAGGAGTTCGAGACCAGCCTGGCCAACATGATGAAACCCCGTCTCTATTAAAAATATAAAAATTAGCCAGGTGTGGTGGTGTGTGCCTGTAATCCCAGCTACTTGGGAAGCTGAAGCCAGAGAATCACTTGAACCCAGGAGGCGGAGGTTGCAGTGAGCCAAGGTTGTGCCACTGCACTCCAGCCTGGGTGACAGAGTGAGACTCTATCTCAAAAAAAAAAAAAAAAAAAAAAGTAAGACATATTTTATACATACAACTGTTGAAGGGGAGAGAGATTTCAGTATCAACTGAGTTCAACTTCAGTGATACAAAAGGCAGGAGGCTTTTAAAATTCCAGGATGTGCTAAGTGAAAAGTACAGAAGGATATTAAGGGGAGCATTGGATGTGATCAGGCCACCCGTGTTTGCTAAATGGCACTTATCTGAGTTAGGCTCCTACCTTCCCACAGGACCCAGGAGACAGAGGCCCTGTCTTTATGACTGTGTTTCAAAGGGATCGCTTCCAGGTCCAGGAGAAAGATGCTTCTAGGTTGAAAACCTGGGAGAAGTCCGGGAGAAGATTTACATCCTTAAAAGAGCAGAGATAGAATTTACAATGGCAAGTTTTCTCAAGCGAATGCTTTGAGAAAAGAAAGGCAGGGGCATATAGTCAGGACTTGGCTGGGACAAGCAGTAGACTTTTTCAGCAGTCTTGAGCCTCCTCAGGGAAGAACTTAAGAGGGTGGGGACTGGGCACGGTGGCTCACGCCTGTAATCCCAGCACTTTGGGAGACTAAGGCAGGCAGATTGCCTGAGCTCAGGAGTTCGAGACCAGCCTGGAGAACACGGTGAAACCCTGTCTCCACTAAAATACAAAAAATTTAGCTGGGCGTGGCGGCATGTGCCTGTAGTCCCAGCTACTCGGGAGGCTGAGGCAGGAGAATTTCTTGAACCTGGGAGGCGGAGATTATAGTGAGCCGAGATCACGCTACTGCACTCCAGCCTGGGCAACAGAGTGAGACTCCGTCTCTAAAAAACAAAAAAGAGGGTGGGGTTGTCATCCTAGGGACCCAGACTTGAGCTCACAGAAACAATGCTAGTGCTTACTCAAGCCTCTTGGGGCGAGGATGGACAAAATTGCTCACGCTGAGAGTCTGTAATTCTCATAGACCTAGTCTAGAAGAGGCTCAGAGAAGCCTGACTAAAGTTTGGTCAAGGAGAGAGTCTTTGTCCTAAGAACTGTGTATAAAACCATGAAGGAAACAGAGAATCATGACTTTATAGCATTTATATAATAATGATGGGCAACAGAGTGAGACTCCGTCTCAAAAAAAAATAAAATAAAACTTAAAAAAAAAAATAAATAATGATGGAGCTTATTACATTCAATTCAGTTTCATCGTAGATAAATTTAAGTTACTCAAATTCACCTTTGTGTGTGTGTTGCCCAGGGAGAGAGGGAAACGGGGAGGTGAGAGAGAGATAGAGATAGATAGATAGATAGAGAGAGAGAGAGAGAGAGAGAGAGAGAGAATTTTGAGAGAAGGCGGAAACCAGCTAAATCGCTCTGGTAAATCAGTCAGTGGTTCCATTGAGTGTTTGCCTCCAAAGCCAAGCGGGAAAAGAAAGACTAAAATCTAGGGCTGATGGTTTGCTTCAGTCCAAAAGTCTCAGCATCTGAGCATCTCATTCTACTGCCTATGACTCTAGTGTTTGAAGAATCATAGCTTTTTATAATCTATCCCTTCAATGTAAGCCAACAGCTTCTCCTGGCGTCCAACACAGAGACGGCCATCTGTTCCCATGCTCGTGGGGACTGTCCGTGGGCAATTTTCCAACAGCCAGTCCATAGGTCTTGAAAGTGGCAACTTCCTGTATCAATTTGGGCCCTGAGAAGACAGGATGACATTCACAGAAAGTGTAGTGAAAATAATTTAACAAAGGGCCTATTTACAGAAAACCTGGGCAGGATTAGAGAATCAAGGACTGTCAAGCCACCTTCCAGGACCTGGAAGGTATAGAAAGTCTCTATCATGCTCAGGATCAAGTAGGGGGAAAAGGTATTTGGGAGGTAAGTACCTGGGAAGATGCACTGCCCACCGTAACTGTGGCTGTGCAGAGCCACTGGCAGGACCCAGGTGAGGCACGAAGGAAATGGGAGAATGAATTAGCCAAGTTCTCTCCTCCACTAGTCAACTGCAGTGTCTGAAAAGCTGAAGGCCAGGTTCAACATGGAGAGACTGCGTTATTCAGACAATGCTGTTAGCACTCAGTCAGCCCAGCCTGGCCTCACCACGCAGATCTGATTTCCTCTTGGCTGCATTATTTCAGGCAAGCTGGCTCCAGGTGGAGGCCTTTACGTTCTATCAGCTTAACAACCACAGCAGAAGGCAGGGAGTGGGGAAAGGGAGCTGGGGGTGGAAAGGAAGAGCGAGATTGATTTTGAGATTAAACCTCTTTCTCACCAGGTTTGGCCAAAGTCCAGGTTTGTATCTCACCAGAGGGACTTGGCCACATGTCCCTTTCTGTCACAGTCCCCTGCCTACTGGCTGAGCCTGGAGACTGTGTCCTTCCCCAGAGGTCTGAGTCTAGGTCACTGAATGTCTGGGGGGCGGGGTGGCTCTTCGCAATTCAGGATGCTGCCAGGAGGACAGTGGTGACAGAGGCTGTGCAGGAAAAATAAAAATAAAAATAAACAAACTTCCACTCAGGTCCTGCAGATCCACAGCAGCTTGGGTCTCTATATCCATTCGTGTAATTGCTGCACATAAAGCTTATATCCTGGGAATGTGGGGAGACTCTTCATGACGTTTTCAGAATCCACCTGGATGAATTCCATTTGCATTAGGATTTTTCCCCCAGTGTAGATGGTTTTAATGACTGTCATTCCCCAAACAGGGAATTTGGTATGGTTTCTGGAACATAACAGCATGCAGTTCTTCACAGATAATATTCAGTCAATGAGTAAATACACTACAAAACATCTTTCTTCCACTCCGTTTATGTTTAGCAGCCTGAACTAATCAGAAGGAAACTCACTTAAAACAAGAACTGACTTCTTGTGAAGGATCATGAAAGTTTTGAGCATTGCATCAGAATGCAGATATTTAAACTCCTCTGTCTAACTTGCTTCTCAGGAAAGATTTATAGAATGTAAGATAAGGAGGTTAAGATGACAGTGTTTTTTTTTATTAGACCTAGCCATGCTTAAACCTTAAATCCAAGATCTTTCTCTTAATATTTTTGCATCCATATAATCCACCTCCTCTATGTGTTAATAAATACTTTCTCTAAGAGGGAAGGTGGGAGGGAGGAAAAGGAGGGAGAGAATAAGAGAAATTGTGGAAAAAGGTATAATCATGACCCTCATACAGATATAAGATGAACATATTTCAACCATATCAATTAAATCACTAATCAATGAGAAAGCCAGCAAGAGGCAATAACTGGTTCACAGGAGAATCTAAAGACACATAGATAAACCACCAGGAATGATGAAATAAATACGCTTAATAGGTTAAAAAAATGTCAAAACTAGTCAATATCTATGTAATAATCAACTGACTCTCCTTCAGACAAAAGTTGCATTTTTATGGGCAAGAATAGTTTGCATTACTATAAGTATTCTACAATTTACAGAGCTATAAATTAGCTGAAAAACAATGAAAGAGAGAAAGACCACTGATATGGGTTAGATCTGTGTCCCCACCCAAATCTCATGTCAAACTGTGATTCCCAGTGTTGGAGGTGAGGCCCTGTGGGAGGTGACTGCATCATGGGGGCGGGTTCTCACGAATAGGTTAGCACTATCCCCCTTGATGCTGTTCTCCTGACAGAGTCCTCTTGAGATCTGGTTGTTTAATAGTGTGTAGCACCTCCCCCGTCTCTCTCTGGCTCCTGCTCTGGCCATGTGAGATGTGCCTGCTTCCTGTTCGCCTTCTGCCATGATTGTAAGTTTCCTGAGGCCTCCCCAGAGGCAGAAGCCGCTATGCTTCCTGTATAGCCTGCAGAACCATGAGCCAACTAAATCTCATTTCTTATAAATTACCCAGTCTCAGGTATTTCTTTATAGCAGTGCAGAAACGAACTAATACAACCACCACAGAATCAAATAACTCAAAATTGCCTAGTTTCCCACCAAAGGTATCCAGTAATCTTTTTTTATCTTTTTCAAAGTCACTCATGATTTTTCCCCAATTCAATTTTTTTTCCTAATTCACAATATATAGAATTAAGATAATAACAGCACCTTTCTCGTAAGACTGCTGTGTTGATCAAATAAGAGACAGCAAGCGAAATCCTTAGCCTGCAGCCTGGCATCTCATAAGCCCCTAATAATTATTACTATTCATGATTACTCTTTTTAACTAAAACCATGATCATGACACCCTTTAGGTGTTTTTTTAGAATTGTCATAAACTTTTGAAATTATAACTTCCCAATAACAAAGATGTCTTAAAATATGAACAATTATTTTCTGAGAAAGACAGATGGAAATAAGTATAACTAATCATTCTGAGAAATCAGAGATAAATTTCACATGGCCGGTTCCTAAAATAGTCTATAAGGTGGAGGGAGAAATCACAAGACAAACTGGCCGGGAGGGTTTGGGACCAACGTGGTGGAAATTAAGCAGAGATACAGATGCAAACAGAATTCACAAAAAACAAGGACAGATGAGAACAAAGACTGTCAGGAGATCTAAACACTGGTAAACCAAATATTTCTATTTCTGGAATCTCTACTACAACAACAGAGCCTGGCTACATTAAATCTACATTCCAACAGGATGAAGTTGTCTAAGGCTCAGGAATAGAGCACGCATTGAAGTTACTTACCTGGTTCAGGAAGATGTTTCAGTTCTTCACCCCTGGGTAAGACACTTGGGTATAAAGAGTGGGTAGGTATGTTATATAGTGAAAGGTAAAATCAGGAATCAGGCTTGGCAAGTTAGTTGGAGAAGATGATTTCCCTGACCAAGATCTTCCTGAACTTCTCAATAGACCCCCTACCTAACTTCACAGTGGAATAATAGATCATCATAATTGTAATCACCTTGCTTGGGCTCAGAGTCTAAGGCTGATGTGCGTGACTGACTCCTCCCCTGGATTCTGTGTCCTAATTATTACAAAGCAGCAGCTTGCATCAAGTACTCACATGTTCTTTATCCTAATAATAATAATCACATATTTTACAGCACAATTTGGCAAACTCTTTACCTAACCAAGCGTGAAAGAGAAAATCATTATGTGTCTACAGATTATTGTCATATATTATTTTATTTAACAACAACATATTTTCCATGAATTAGTTAATACAGGGAGACATACAATGCACACATTTTTAGAAATCAAATTTTTAGGGGGAAGTTTGTCTTCTTACTGCTTGATTTCTGGCTGTTCCACAATTTCCATTTTATTGTCCTGAAAGGCGGTTTCTGTACCCAACAGACAGAAGACGCTTTTTCCAAAATTCATGTAGGTAAAATGCCTGATGAGAAAATGTGAACTCTTTATTCAGAATCTAGTGGGAAATTTAACTCAGGCTTGTCATAAAATTGAGTTTAGATATGTGCTGGAAAACTTGGCTAAATGCTATTCAGAATGCATCAAATACTGTACCTGGGCTTTACAGTATTTTATTATACACTTAAATATTTGTTAACAGAGTGGATCTCGTGTTACGTGTTTTTACCAGAAGAAAATAAAATTTAAAAATATATCCATTGTGTGCCTGCTATGTGCCAGTCACCATGCAACTCAGCGGTGGCGAACAACATAGGAAAACTCCTGCTTTTAATTGGGGATTGCCTAAGTTGGACCACAGTCAAACACACAGGCAATTAAATGGCAGTATGAGCAGTGTTGTGAGAGAGTCAAGAAACTCAGATATTACAGCACAGGCAAAAACCAGAATATCCAGGGCGGAAAGATATTCCTTAGAATTTAATCTGAAGTCTCAGGGCAATTCAAAGTAGGCCGAGCAAACGAAGTAGAGGGAGGTCTTCAGGCAGATACAACAGAGAGGTACAGGCATATACAGCAGATGTTTCACAGGCTGTCACTGCCCATTCCGGTTTGCTCTGGCCAGCTTCTGGCTGACAGTACTCTCAGTTCTCTGCCTCTCTCCTGCTCCTCTCAAGCTGCTGAGAGCTCCCCACCCACAGGGCAGGCCAGACAAACAGGGGAATTATTGCCTCCCTGCTCCTTCCTAACCCTCAACCATTGACTTTTTGAGAATCTAATTTCCAACGTTTTTACACCCCTTGACTTCAGTGTGACCTTGCGACTTGCTTTGGTCTACAGAATAAAGTGGACTGACAATGCAACCTGAATGCACCCAGGTGTCAGGAGATCTTGAATGTTTCTGCTTCCCCTCTCAGTATTCAGCCTCCAACATGAACCTAAGCCTGGGCCAGGCCACTCTGGAAACAAGACCATGGGCAGCAGAGCTGGACTTCCCAGCTGAGGTTCTACCATGTCAGCCAACCATTCAGTAAATACCTGCCAGACACGTGAATGGGCCTCAGGCAAGACCAGAAAAATCATTAAGCTAATCCCAGTCAAGATAGGCAAAACTCAATTTTAGAGTCATTTGTTATACAACATTACTATGGTGACTGCTAGCTCATACAAAGCATTTCATGATTTTCATCAGACTTGCTGAATATTTGGTGGTTGTGGCAATGAACTATATGCTGCACATTCTGGAGCCAACTATGTGTCCTAATTTTCCTCTCTCTCCACTCATTCTTTCCCCTTCTTGCTGCCCCTATTAAATGACTTCCCTCTCATCTCTTAGCCAATCAGAGAACATATTTGGACTATGCATACTTCCCAAATCATATAGATGCTAAAATAACTGACAGTATATGAGGGAGTCAAATATATAGTATACTGTGAAGTATACTGCATGTTTTCATAGAACACACACAATAATAGTTAACACTACTATTACTAATAATAGTTAACACTACTGTTACTAATAATAGTTAACACTACTGTTACTAATAATAGTTAACACTATTATTACATAGAAGAACACACACAATAATAGTTAACACTACTACTATTACTAACACTACTATTACAGAGACTGTGCTTAACATGTGTAGAAGAAATTGCTCCCATGGCCTCATGCAATGTATTCATGTAGTCTCCAAATAGTTTCCAATATGTTGATTAAAGCAATCCACCTAGCAGCCTTCCTCCATTAACAGAACAGTGTATACTTTCAAAATTGATATGCAACTGTTTCTATAAACTGTTCAATAATCCAGACTGCCTTTCTTCCATTGCCCTGAATTGGTTGTTTGATCATTTATCTTGGCTAATCTTTAAATGACTGCTTGGTTCGCCTCTCTCATATTTCTAAAGGACTCACGTGGTATTCAGAAGGAGGAAGCCAGCACCATTCATGTAAGATGTTTATCATCAGTTGGAGCAAATTATGTAGCTGGAATTCATCAGTAAACAATGTTCTTATTCATCCAGAGAAAATCTTAAGCAGCCTGAGCAAAAATCTTATTTTCTTCTTATACTTCAGTGCGCCTTTTTAACTAGTGACATCAATTAAACTGAGATTTCCCTCTCTGGAGGACTGCTTGGATTTTTGTTTTGTTTTGTTTTGTTGCAATTTTGGTCTTCAACAGAAGAAAATTCAGTCTCCCATGGTGATTAACGGTGAGATGGTTAACGCTCTCCAAACCCACAGTACCTTCCGACCAGCTTTTCCATGTTTATTCTGTTTGGGTTTTTCTTCGGGCTGTGATATACCCTTGAGGACTGAGGAAGAAACTGGTACTTAAACACAGTCACCCTAGAAAGGTCTAGAATAAGATGAGGTGGAGCCTCTACTCTCCATTGTTTCATGCCAAGAGTCAGAAATGAGTAGCTCATAGAGGTCATCTGATGTCATTTCTTTTTTCCTTTTTGCTGATGCTTCAGAGATCTCACAGGGGATTGGACTGGCTGCTGGTTCTACGGGGAAGTCAAAGAGAACTAAGAAATCCCTCTTGGTGAGAAATCATGGTAGAAAATAAAGCTATCAACTGAATTTACAATCACATGATCTGGCCAGGCGTGTTGGCTCACATCTGTAATCCCAGCACACTGGGAGACCGAGGCTGTCAGATCACCTGAGATCAGGAGTTTGATATCAGCCTGGCCAACATGGCAGAACTCCGTCTCTATTAAAAATACAAAAATTAGCCAGGTGTGGTGGCACGTGCCTGTAGTTCCAGCTACTCGGGAGACTCAGGCAAGAGAATAGCTTGAACCTGGGAGGCAGAGATTGCAGTGAGCTGAGGTCGCACCACTGCAGCGACTGGGAGAGAGTGTCTAAAAAAAATAATAATAAAAATCAGGTGATCCGTACTTCCTGAATTCACCCACATTCTGTGCTCTTTCATGCATGGCTCTTCCCCATGGGACAATCATACATGCTCAACCTCTTGAACTCAAGAATGTACAAGCTCTTGTCCATAAAACATGAGCCTCAATAACTTTGGTCACTTTCAGCAGACACTTTTAGAAATAAATTGTGTTTTCCCACATCCTGTTTTTTATCTGGCATGATGCCCAGAAATGATCTAGGTAGTGACTGCACTGTTATCCTGGGTTCCAGAGAGAAAAAGATGTTAAGTGAAGCCACAGTGATTCACAGTGGACATGCAATAGAAGGGATAATTAAGCTTTTTCTATTGTAAACATTTAAGATTTGTGGGAAATTTGTTGTACAGCAAAACCTGGCTTATCCTGACTGACAAAATGGATAAACATACAAAGAATGGATAATTTTAATTCTGTCCAGTCAACATTTTGTGCTATGAACTCTTTGACCCCTTCTCTTTCCCCAATGCCTTGTGTTCTGCTTCTATGATTTTATGCCTATAGCTGTATCTATCATCTACATATGTCATACATATATTTAATATATGTGCAAATAGAGAAATGCAAATCAAAACAGCGAGATATCGTCTCACCGCAGTTAAAATGACTTATACCCAAAAGACAGCCCATAACAAATGCTGGCAAGGATATAGAGAAAAGAGAAGCCTCTTATACTGTTGGTGGAAATGTAACTTAGTACAACCACTATGGAGAACAGTTTGGAGGTTCCTCAAAAAGCTAAAAACAGAGCTATCATATGACCCAGCAATCCTACTGCTGGGTATATACCTGAAAGAAAGGAGATCAGTATATTAAAGAGATATCTGCACTCCCAGTTTGTTGCAGCACTGATAACAAGCTATTTGGAAGCAACCTAAGTGTCCACCAACAGATGAATGGATAAAGACAATGTAGAACTTATAATACACAATGAAGTACTACTTAACCATAAAAAAGAATGAGATGCTGTCATTTGCAACAACACAGATAGAACTGAAGATCATTATGTTAAGTGAAATAAGCCAGGCACAGAAAGACAAACATTGCATGCTCTCACTTACTTGTGGGATCTAAATATAAAAAACAAACTCATGGACATAGAGAATAGAAGGATGGTTAGCAGAGGCTGGGAAGGATTGGGGAGTTTTGGGGGAGGTGAGGATGGTTAATAGGTACAAAATAGAAAGAATGAATAAGACCTACCCTTTGATAGCACAACAGGGTGACTATACTCAATAACAACTTAATTGTACATTTTTAAATAACTGAAAGAGTATAATTGGATTGTTTGTAATAATACAAAGGATAAACGTTTGAGGGGATTTCTCCATGCTGTGATTATTATGTATTGCCTGTCTCATGTACCCCATAAATATGTACACCTACTACATACTACAAAAATTTAAAATTTAAAAATTGTATTTGCAAATACCTACATGCACATATATATGCATGTAGGTATTTGTGATATATATGCGAATACATAGTTGTGTAGATATACAAATAGATATGTGTGTGTATATATATATCAGTGTGTATGTATGTGTAAATGTATTAGGATGGTGCAAAAGCAATTGCAGTTTCTGCCATTAAAAGTAATTAAGAGTAATGGCAAAATTCGCAATTATTTTGTGCCACCCTAATAAGATACATAGATGTTGACAGCGAGCTAGAGCTATGATGTAGGTGTAGGGGTAACTGTACCACAGTTAGGTGGGTGCATTTGCAGAAAGATATGGCTGTAAGTAGGTAGACATGCCTTGCTCACTCTGCATCCACAGATCCCATCCACACACCTCATACCTATTGGCTTTCAGTAAATTCTTATTGAACAAACAGATGAACACTAGACTGCTGGGCTCTACTAGGACCTAGAGCTACTTATGCATATGCATGAGTGGCAGCTTGCTCCAGGAAGGATGCTCTTCCCTGTTCTTCATTCTTGACACATCGCCTGATGACCCTGGAAATTTATTAATGTTTGATGAATATTTATAAAAACTGCCACTTCAATTAAAATATAAAATCCCTGAGCTAAATTAATTGAGGTGAGAAAAAAAAAAAAACAAACCTCACTTGCATCCTAGAAGATAACAAATGAGGAGCAGAGGTTGTCTTTGCACTGAAGAATTTTCAGAGCCACAGAAAACTCTTCAGCTGTTAAAGATTTAGGGAACTTGAAAGCATCGCTAAACCAGCAGGCTTTGAAAACAGTTTCCACCTTGGCTCGCTTGGCTGAGTCACCAGGGAATAGGACAGGGTTTAAATGAACAGCCTTGCGGGGCCTTGTTAAACAGACTGCCGTTTTTCCAAATGCCACAGGGTCATCCCATCAGCACCCAGGGAGCCGCCTCTTCCTTTACTCAGTTCCTCTGAAACACCTGGTATGCACAAGGAACCTCATTCTCTGACGTCACGGTATCACATCATTTTAGCCCCAGCACAGAACACAACACTTACCACCAACTTACCTCTTCAAACATCTGTTGTTGATGGAGAAACAAGATGCAAGTATTCATAGAGGAGGGAAGACTGGATGATTTTGGAAGAAGACTTTTTTTTCAATATCCTGTGGCTGTTACGTTGATTGTCTTGGTTAAAATATCTCTCCTTGTTGTAAGAGCTGAACTGTGAAAACGAGTAACTCAGAAAGGAAGACGAACCTGCAGGTGCCGTTGGGACAGATGGGGTGTGGAGCTCAAGATTTCGGAATTGTGTTCTGCAAGAAACTAAATCTGTCCTGGTTTGGGACAAATGAAGGGATGTGAGAGCAATCGGTCATAGGCACATTAGGAACAAGAGGAATTCTGTCAGATCCTTTTCAAACAGAAGCTACTGTTTCCTCTGAAGGGAATTTCAACAACATTTCTAAAGCGTCCGGTTTATTCTGTCTGGACAGCGCAGAGCTCTAAGCCAAGGCTCAGTTACAGAAATCAGCTCCCCAAAGCACATACTAGGCACTAGGGGAAGGCGCTGAGTTTTAAACAGAGATTTCCACAAAAAGAGAATTAGTTCCCACAGAGCCAATTCAAGACTCAACATAGTCAAGACCACAGGCGTGAGGAAATTCTGTCCTGACGATTGGTCACCGCGTCTACATATACAAATAAAAGCAGCAATTACACCTTTTCTTCGGGGATGATGAACAAGTCTAACTGTTTGTGTGTGTGTGTGTGTGTGTGTGTGTGTGTTTTGTTTTTGTTTCTTGGTTTTTTTTAGACAGAGTCTCACTCTGTTGCCTAGCTCACTGCAACCCCTGCCTCCCAGGTTCAAGCAATTCTCCTGCCTCAGCCTCCTGAGTAGCTGGGATTACAGGTGCCTACCACCATGCCTGACTGATTTTTGTATTTGAGTAGAGACAGGGTTTCACCATGTTGGCCAGGCTGCTCTTAAACCCCTGACCTCAGGTGATCCGCCCACCTCGGCCTCCCAAAATGCTGGGATTACAGGCCTGAGCCACCACCACATCAGGCCCAATCTAACTTTAAAGCTCAGAGTGACTGCTCACAAATAGGGTGAACAATTGGGTTTACTAGTAAGGTGACCATATATTCCAGTTTATTTGGTACAGTTGCATTTTAGGGGCCTGTTTTCCTGATATAATAATAAGAGTGACTCCTTTTGCTTTCAAAGAGTCCTGGTCTGGACCATAAATTATATGTTCACTCTACTTATGTGCCAATTCTGTTTTTTTTTTTATTTCAACTTTTATTTTAGATACAGGGGGCACATGTGCAGACTTGTTACATGGGAATATACATGTGTGATACTGAGCTTTGGAGGATACATTCCATCATGCAGGTAGTGAACATTGTACCTGATAAGTAGTTTTTTAACTCACTGCCCTCTCCCTCTACCCTCTAGCAATCCACAGTGTCTGTTGTTCACATATTTATGCCCATGTGTGCTCAATGTTTAGCTCCAACTTATAAGTGAGAACACGCAGTATTTGGTTTTCTGTTCCTGAGTTAATTTGCTTAGAATTATGGCTTCCAGCTCCATCCAGCCACTGTGAAAAGCATTCTGGAGATTTCTTAAAGAGCTTAAAACAGACCTACCATCCAATTGAGCCTTCCCATTACTGGGTATATACCCAAAAGAAAATAAGCCATTCCTCCAAAAAGACACATGCATTCCCATGTTCACTGCTGTGTTATTCACAATGGCAGAGACGTGGAATCAACCCATGTGCCCATCAGTGCTAGACGGAATAAAGAAAATGTGGTACATATATACTGTGGAATACTATGCAGCCATAAAAAAGAATGAACGCTTGCTCTTTGCAACTAATTCAGCTTTTAAAAAGGGGAAAGGGGAGAGGAAATAGAGTCACTGTGAACCATCTTTGGTGCTGCCTGACAGCCACATGTTCTGTAGCTTTCTAAGGATTCTCTAAACTACAAAGGTTTCCATTACCACTGCCCATTAGGAAACATTGAGCTTGAGTTTGGCAGGTGTGTTTCCTAGCTCTAAGCAATGTAAAGGGGAGTTGAGGAAAACAAGTTACCCCCATTTTCCTCAAACTCCAGCTGTTACAGTCATAATTTTGGCCTTATCCCTGTACCTCCTTAAACCACTTTTATAAATTTTGCAATATTTATAAAATACCTGTCCTATTCATGAAATATTTTTTCAATAGATCCACATTAATTGATTAGTTTTCAAGATATTTTATATTATATTATGAATAGAAAATTAGAATTGCTTGTCATAAACCAAAGTTAAGAGGACCATCAAGCCAGGGAAAATGTGGTGACATTATTAAATCACATCCTGAAACTGATCCATGTCAATGGTTCTTGAAATGAGACAGGCTGTAGTCCTGATAAAAGTGGGATTATAAAGTACTCAAGTGATGTTAGCAATAATCTTCCTAATGTTAAACTGTTTTAATACTCTGCACTGAAAAAGCAGTGGGAACCACTGTATGATTCAATGTCATTGAATAACATAATCATGGACCAATAATTACCTCAAATAAAACCAGTGATTATGACCTAGGCTTCGGGTAACACTGAGTTAGGCTACCCTAGTCTTAAATATTGAAATCTACAAATAAGTGTCTTGCTGAGTACTTTTATAATTTAAATGAAATAAGAAAAGCTCAATTGCTAGCGTAGTGTGTGGTACCTAATAGGTGCAATGTAAGTGTTAATAATTGCAATAAAAATCATCATTGTGATTGTAAAAGAGGGTTTGAGAGGGCTGAGCCATGTTTCTAGTCTAGATTCCATAGAGGAAACCAGTATGATCTTACAAGGTGAACTGTCCGTTTGTGTTTCATTTCTTTCTTTGTAAAATTCAGATGGTTAGAGGAGCAATTGCCAATCTTTGCTCCCAAGCCTAGAGTTAATCAAATGTGCAGCAACGTCTGGTTTGGGGTGGGGGCTTTGAGCTGACTACATCCAGGCCTCCCTTGTCATTCTCATCAGAGCATTTCTGCATTTAGTGATTTCATAGAGGAGGGAAGTATGCCCAAGAAGTTGCTCGACAAAGAACATTTCAAGTCCCTTTCATGTCTTCAAGCTCTAGTGGGCCAAGGTGTTAAGAGGGCCATGCCTGAGGCTCCTGGTTTCCTGCTTGCCTCCTCTCTCATAGCTTCTCACCCAAAGCAACCCAGAACTCTTGGCAGAGTGATCTGTAGGGGACATGGGGTGTGCAGAACTGGACTGGGCCATTTAAGTTTTCCCATTCAGTAACTTTTAGAAGTGACACATTCAGAGGAGCCTCATTCCATTTCCACAAAGTGAGATTTTATGACTTAAGGTTTAGTGAAATGCAGGAATAGGGGTGCCCACCTCAGTCAGCCATAAGGCAGTATCATCTATGAAGTCATGTCCACAGCTATGGCCCTGTTCCGGACCATCATCATCTCCATGGCCTTCTAACTCAACCGTCCCCATAGTCCATCATCTGTGCACCAGGCAGGATCATCTTCACAAAACCCAGACCGTGTCATGACACTCCAATTTTCAAAGTGGAAGGGGCCTCACTTGACACTGAAAATATGCCCAACTCGCTGCCACGGCCCATGCGGCCACTGCTCTACCCCCAGTGCATTTCTTGATCTCACTTCCTCATGCTAATATACAGCAATAGTGACCTAACTCCTGATCCTACAATGCAGGAAACCCGTGCCCACCCCAAGGCCTTTGTATGTGCTGTTAACTACACCCAGAATCAACTGCCTCTGTATTTTCCAGCATAAATTCCTTCTTCAGAGACCTTCTTTAGCCTCCAATATCCAAAGTAGCCACCTGTATTAGTCCGTTCTTGTACTGTTATGCACACCTGAGACTGGGTATTGTATACAGAAAGGAGGTTGAATTGGCACACGCTTCCACAGGCTGTACAAGAAGCATAGCTGGGGAGGCCTCAGGAAACTTTTCATTATGGTGTAAGGCAAAGGGGAAGCAGGCGTATCGTACATGGCCAGAGCCGAAAGAAGAGAGAAGGGGGAGGTGCTACAGGCTTTTAAATGACCAGATTTGGTACAACTCACTATCCCTACAATGGGAATGGTGTTCAGCCATGAGAAACCACCCCCAGGATCCAATAACCTCCCATCAGGCCCCACCTCCAACACGGGAGACTACAATTGAACAGGAGATTTGGGTGGGGACCCAAACCATATCACCACCCTAACCCCAATATCACTCTCTCTCACCTACCTAATTAATTTTCTTAATAACACTTATCCCTACCTAGAATCAATCTTTGAATGTCTTATTCATTGATTACCTCCCGGTCTACAGATATAAGCTCCATGATAATAGAGATGTTATGTAACCCAAATACTTCAACCTGGCACTTAGAATACACACGAGTGTCATATTAAGACAGTGTCTCAGGCTTGGCACACTATTGGTGCTCAAATTATATTGTAAGATAAATACGTAAATTTCAAGACAGCATTTATATCTGGCTCCAGGTATTTCAGAAACCACATTTTCTTTTCTTTTCTTTCTTTCTTTCTTTCTTTTTTTTTTTTTTTTTTTTGAGACGGAGTTTCACTCTTGTCACCAGGCTGGAGTGCAGTGGCGCTATCTTGGCTCATTGTCATTGCAACCTCTGCCTCTCAGGTTCAAGTGATTCTCCTGTCTCAGCCTCCTGAGTAGCTGGGATTACAAGTGTACACCACCACACCTGGCTAATTTTTGTATTTTTAGTAGAAACGGCCAGGCTGGTCTTGAACTCCTGGCCTCGGGTGATCCACTCGCCTTGGCCTCCCAAAGTGCTGGGATTACAGGTGTGAGCCACTGGGCCAGAAACCACATTTTCTATTCATAGGAAGATTCGTGTGTTTGTTTTTTTATCAAATAACTGTTGGGTGATGCCTATATGCTGGACATAATCCTACACCTTTTGAAAAAATGAAATAAAATAAAACATACTTTCCCTGACTGAACTTAGTTTCTGGTGTCAAAAATGGATGCTGATTCAAAAATATTCAAAATAAATTGTATAATTATAAACTTAAATAATTTAGGAAGTAAAGGTGTGTGGCGGCATGAGAGTTTTCAAGACTAGCTTTCCAATGTGTGGAATATTAAGGAAGAATTCTTTGAAGAATTTTTAAAATATGAAACATTATTAGAAACATGTTCTGGTGGATTAGTTGGTTTTTCAAAAATATTTCTTTCCACCCAACCATGTCTCTCAACTGACTCATACTAGGGTGAGCAAGAATAGATTTTTGTTGTTTTCAGTTATTGAGTTGTGTTACGCAGCATTGTTACATCAATACCTGACTAATACAGATGTATGTCCATTTTCCTCTTACCTGGAGGTGCTTGTCTCTTAGCAATCCAAGTGCCCTCTGAGTAGGACCATCAGTCTCATCGTCTAGGCTGAGCACCTATTGAGAACCTTGTGTTTCACCAAGATGTGCACGTTTTCATTCATACTAAATGACCAAGCTTGGAAATTAGCTGCAGACTTCCTCGATAGATAGAACAATGGGTAACTCAACACTCCTGTCTCAGTGTAGCAACCCCAACCCAAATAAGCAACCTCCACATACACCATGAATTTACTGAAAAGAAGATCTCACTCTTCCCTCGAGAATGTCACAAAACCCTTGTCAGGGGTGATACAAGAAAGTGGAGTGGAGTGGGTTGCTGAGGAGCAAGACTCTATACTTTCAATCAATTCAACAACTGTTGATCATCTGCTCTACACCAACTTGCACCCTCGGTCACAGCAGTAAACCAGACAGAGCAATCCCCCAGCCATGTAAAGCTTAACATTCAGGCCTAAGGATAAGGAGTCCTTTGGGAGCACAGCCCTACCCAGGGCAGCCCATTTCTTCACACAGGCATTTTATTATTATTATTTTTTGCTTTGTTGACTGATACGTAAATTGCTCAAATAAGTTCTCATGATTCAGAATTACAAAGACTAAGAAGTAACATTAAATACGTAAAAGGGAACAGCCTGTTAGTGCCTAGACCTGAATTCAAACCCAGATGCTTTTAGCTACACAAATAGATGTGTCTCAGGGATTCCTATTTAAGACCCCAAATAAAAACATGTCTATCTGGAAGTCTCGTGGGGATTTTGTGTGTGTATGCTTTGTTTTGTTTTTGTTTTATGAATGGCTGTCACCTTATGTACAAATGGTGAACTAATTAGAGTAAAATTTAGACTACATGATTATGACTATGAATGAAGGTCTTTATAAAATATTTAGGAATGTGTAGGTGTTTCTTTCACCTTTAAGTGAAAGCAGCAGCAAAGAACATAGAAGCTTTAAATGTTGTGAGGATGTTTTCACTAGAAAAGTCTCTGTAGAACATTTTTGATAAATACATAAAAATGCTGGGTAGCTACTTGCTGTTTACACTAAATGACTGCTTCCAAAATGTTCCCAGAAGGTATATAGTGCTTGGAAGTGGTCTGAACAATTTCCTGAAATATTATTTACTCCCCAGATTCCTTGACTCAATCTACCTCTGTAAAGCAGCCCAAGCCACCTATGTCCTGGCTGCTGAGGGTTCCACCGGCTTGGGTTCCTGGTGCCCCTTCTATGAGTCACAGGAGTTAAGGTGAAAATGATCCTCAATTTCCTCTCCATATTTGCATTTTTAAGATGATTGGTCAGGCCTTCAGGGTCTCCATGACCCAGTAAAAGCAAACCCATTCTTATTCCCACCACCCCTTCCTTGCAATTGTAATGCCTCCTGCAGATCTCAGTGGGTGGGGGTGCCTTATGGGGACTGGGGATTGAGAACCGTGTCACGGACACCCTGGGTTTGCACATGAGGCTGGCACCATTGCCCCCACCTGGAAAGCTTCATCTTACACTTCAGTGAAGGAAGGGCCTCGTGTTTTGCATTTCAATTATTTGTTTTCATTGAGTCTGAGGCTTTCTATTCTCAGAAAATTCACCCTTTTGATGCAACATTTGAGTATAATTACAAGGCATGAAACCAAATAAATGAATCATTGCAATACTTTAAATTAAATATGACCAGGTCTAGACACATGAGAGGGTTTTCATTATTCAGGGACACAAATGGGCAGAGATTTCAATTATGTCTAACAATATCTTCTACTTTTGACATGAAAGAGTGCCATGAAAATAAAAATGAAATTTATCTTATTGACGCAATTTTGAGAGCGATTCATCTGCTTATTGCAACAAGTAGAATTTTATTGTTAGAAGTCAATTAAAAGTATTAAAAGATTTAAAACTTATAGGTAAAAAAAACCAGCCATGGTGGAAAAACGTATTTATTTCAATCGTAAAAGGAGAAAAAGTTGCTTAAACACTGAATGTCAAAATAAATGAAAAATATAGAGCCACACAAAAACTCTACATGGACTTCATAGTGGCAATATTTATAATAGTCAAAAAGTGAAGGCAACCTTAATGCCCACGGACAGGTGAATGGATAAACGAAGGGTAGTGTATCGCTACAGCGGAATATTATCTAGAGCCGGAAGGAGAGAAGTACCAATGCATGCTGGAAATGAACCTAGAACACATCATACTGAGTGAAAGAGGCCAGACACACAAGGCCAGGGACCACATCACCCCATGTATAGGAAATGTCCAGAAGAGGCAAACCTACAGTAGCAAAGGTACATTAATGATTGTCAGGAAATGGAGTCAGGAGGGATTTGATTTGAGATGAATACTAATGGGTATTTTTTTGTTAGGTGATAAATATGTCCTAAAATTAGATTGTAGTCTTATCTGTACGACTTTTTAAATTTACTAAAAAAAAAAAAAAAAAAAAATCAAACACAGAAATGGGTGCTGCAGTGAGCAGTGATCACGCCACTGCACTCTAGCCGGGGTGACAGAATGAGATCCCATCTAAAAAAAAAGGAAAAGAAAAAGAAAAAAAAAAGCTGGACATGATGGCTCATGCCTGTAATCCCAACACTTTGGGAGGCTGAGACGGGCAAATCTCTTGAGACCGGAGTTCAAGGCCAGCCTGGAGCAACATGGTGAAACACCGTCTCTACTAAAAATACAAAAATTAGCTAGGCATGATGGCACCTACCTGTATTCCCAGCTACTCAGGAGGCTGAGGAAGAAGGGTCATCTGGTGAGGTGGAGGCTGCGGTGAGCTCTGATTGCACCACTGCACTCCATCCTGGTGAAAGAACGTATGTTTCTTTCACCTTTAAGTGAAAGATAGGAAGAAGGAAAGAAAGAAAGAAAGAAAGAAAGAAAGAAAGAAAGAAAGAAAGAAAGAAAGAAAGAAAGAAAGAAAGAAAGAAAGAAAAGAAAAGAAAAGAAAGAAAGAGAGAGAGGAAGAAAGAAGGAAAGAAAGAGAAAGAGAAAGAAAGAAGAAAGAAAGAAAGAAAGAAAGAAAGAAAGAAAGAAAGAAAGAAAGAAAAAGGAAGGAAGGAATGAAGGAAGGAAAAGAAAAGAAATTGAATACCCCAGAGTGAGACCCCATCTCAGAAAAAAAAGAAAAAAGAAAAAGAAAAGAAAAGCAAGAAAAGAAATTGAAGTTTGTACTTTAGTTGGGTACATTGTGTGGTATATAAATTATAACTCAAGAAAACTGTTTAAAAATTGAATGGAAGATAATACAATGACCATTCCCTCAAATGCCACACATAACTTTAGAAAAACTCATTTATCTTATTTATTTATTTATTTTTTGAGATGGAGTCTTGCTCTGTTGCCCAGGCTGGAGTGCAATGGCACTATCGCAGCTCACTGCAGCCTCCGCCTCCCGGGTTCAAGTGATTCTCCTATCTCAGCTTCCTGAGTAGCTGGGATTACAGGCACGTGCCACAATGCCTGGCTAATTTTTTGTATTTTTAGTAGAGACGGGGTTTCACCATGTTGGCCAGGATGGTCTCGATCTCCTGACCTCGTGGATCCACCCGCCTCAGCCTCCCAAAGCACGCTGCTGCACTCCAGCCTCGGCAATGAGTGTGAAACTCCATCTCAAAACAAGAACAAAACCACTACGGCCTCTCTATTCATTCAACCCCATAGAATTTGTGTTTACACCTCCAAGTTGAATCTTTTCCCATTGGCTAAACTTTTCTCTTAAGATCAATGATCTAACCAGCCTAATGAAGGCTTTGCCTAATGATTTTCCTGTGCGCTGATCCTTGCTGCCCTTTCCTCCCTCAGTGTTCTTTCTGTGTGTTAGGAGCGTGTTACTAGATTTCCTGGGTAAGTGACAGTGTTGGGTCACATTGCTCCTCAGAGGGTTATTTTAATGACAAGAGGAAAAGTAATATGACTTAGGAAGTGCCTTACACCCTGCCTGCCACACAGCAGGTCTCAGCTTTTCTCCTCTTTCTCTTTCTGCTTGCAGTCTCAGTTGATGGGCACTGGGACTGTCCACTCTGCATGTTTTGAGTCATTTAACTCTTCCCACAAACCTATGAGATACACTGTAATTATCTCTGCACTTTATAGATGAAAAGACTGAGGCTCAGAGTGATTTTCCCAGGGTTATGGCACTACTGAGTTGAGAGATCAGAATTCAAACCCAGAAGTGACTATCTCCATTAGAGACCAAATGTTTGTACCTCCTCCAAATTCAGAGGTTGAAATACTAACCTCCCAGCAATCATATTACAAGATGGGGCCTTTGGAGGTGATTGGGTCGTGAAGGTAGATGGAGTTCCCATGAAATTAGTGCCCTATTGTTCCTGGAAAAGGGTCCAGATCCAGACCCCAAAAGAGGGTTCTTGGATCTTGCACAAGAAAGAATTCAGAGTGAGTCCATATAGTAAAGTGAAAGCAAGTTTATTAAGAAAGTAAAGGGATAAAGAATGGCTATTCCACAGACAGAGCAGCCCCGAGGGCTGCGGGTTGCCCATATTTATGGTTATTTCTTGATTATTTGCTAAACAAGAGGTGGATTATTCATGCCTCCCTTTTTAGATCACATAGGGTAACTTCCTGATGTTGCCACAGCATTTTGTAAACTGTCATGGTGCTGGTGGGAGTGTAGCAGTGAGGACGACCAGAGGTCTCTCATCACCATCTTGGTTTTGTTGGGTTTTAGCCAGCTTCTTTACTGCAACCTGTTTTATCAGCAAGGTCTTTATTATCTGTATCTTGTGTGGACCACCTATCTCATCCTATGATTTAGAATGCCTTAACCACCTAGGAATGCAGCCTCATTGTACCCAGCCCCTACTCAAGATGGTCGCTCTGGTTCAAACATCTCTGAGACTACCTGCAGAAAAGACTCCAGGGAGCTCTGCAGTGCTCCTTCAGCCACGTGAGGACACAGGGAGAAGACGGCTGTCTGCAGCCCCTATGAGGGCTCACTCTAGAACCTGATCATCCCAACCCTAATTCAAATATCCAGCCCCCTGAACTGTGAAAAACACATTTCTGTTTTTCGTAAGTCACAGTCTGTGGTCATTTGTTCCAGTGGCCTGAACTAAGACATTCTCCAAAGCCCAAGCTTTTAACCACTAAGCCTCCCCTCCTCCTATTCACTTACACATCTAATGCTGTGGTCGGTCCTGTTTGCACACTCAACTGCCAGCCCGCCTCTACTTTTCTGGAAGATCACTTTTCCCACTATAGAAGGCTATAGAAAATGTAACTGCCGCCGGGCACGGTGGCTCAAGCCTGCAATCCCAGCACTTTGGGAGGCCGAGGCGGGTGAATCACCTGAGGTCAGGAGTTCAAGACCAGCCTGGCCAATATGATGAAACCACATCTCTACTAAAAATACAACAACAACAAAAAATTAGCCAGGCTTGGTGGCGGGTGCCTGTAATCCCAGCTACTCGGGTGGCTGAGGCAGGAGAATCGCTTGAACCTGGGAAGCAGAGGTTGCAGTGAGCCAAGATTGCAAAACTTCGTCTCAAAAAAAAAAAAAAAAGAAAAGAAAAGGAAATGTAACTGCCTGAAGTGTTCTTTCTGCTCACTGCACAAACAAAATCAATTCACAGAGGCTGGGCATTGCAGTAAAGAGTTTAATTGATGTGAGGCTGGCCATGCCATACAGGAGACGGAGTTATGACTCAAATCAATCTCCCCAAGCATTTGGGGGCTAGGATTTTTCAAAGGTAATTTGGGGAAGGGGCGGGGGTGGCTAGGCAATGGGTGCCTGCTGCTGATTGGTTGGGGTGCAATCACAGGGGTGTGGGAAATGGTACTCCAGTGAACTGGGTTGCTTCTGGGTGGGGTCACAGGAGCAGTTGGGAGGTCCAGGTGGAGTCATCTGTGTCAGACATGCAAAAAAACTATAAAGGTATCTCAAAAGGCCAATCCTAGGTTCTCCAGCAGGGATATTATCTGCAGGAGTAACTGGGAATTTGCATATCTTGTGACCTCCAGAATAATGGCTGGCAATTGTTTATAGCTACACCTTAGCAGAATTCAGCCTCCTTTATCCTCCCAGCCTGGTGGCCTCTCGTTAGCTTTATACAGGCAGTTGAGTTTGGGGAAGTGCTATTACCGTGTAAACTATAAACTAAATGTCTCCCAAAATTAGTTTTGCTTAAGCCCGGGAATAATTAAGGGCAGCTTGAAGGCTGAAGGCCAGAGCAGCCTTGGCTCGATCAGATCTCCCACAATGCCATAATTTTCTCACTGGCATAATTTTTGCAAAGGTGATTTCAATGATGTGACAGACATGCCCTTTCCAACTTCTCTGGCAGTTAGGGCTTAGATATATAACCCAACTGCAGCCAGTGAGATGTGAAGAGACTTCTTCTGAGAGTGCGAGGACTTCTTTTTCTTCTGCAATAAAGATACAGAGACAAACAAAAGGACCACACCTCCCACCTCCACCCACTGCCCTTCTAAATTCTGCTATTGTTGTGTAAAGATGCCACCATCAAACTGCCAAAACCATCTTTCAGTCAGAAGTGGGTGAGTAACACTGCTGGAACAAACAGCCCTCTGGCCTCGGTGATTTAAATGACATTTCCTGGCCTGGCACAGTGGCTCAGGCCTGTAATCCCAGCACTTTGGGAGGCCAAGGCGGGCGGATCACAAGGTCCAGGGTTCAAGACCAGCCTGACCAACATGGTGAAACCCTGCCTCTAATAAAAATATGAAAATCAGCTGGGCATAGTGGTGTGCACCTGTAATCCTAGCTACTCAGGAGGCTGAGGCAGGAGAATTGTTTGAACCTGGGAGGTGGAGGTTGCAGTGAGCTGAGATGGCGCCACTGCACTCCAGCCTGGGTGGCAGAGCGATACTCTGTCTCAAAAAAAAAAAAAATGACATTTCCCTCTGTCGGTCCTACTACTTGTTCACTCAGATAGGCTGGAACGTTCTGGCCACTGTTTTCACTCAGATCCAGCCTGCTAGAGCAGCCACCATCTCCAGCATCGTTTGTTTTATTGGTTTATTGTTGATATTTTTAGGCCAGTGGACAGAGAGAGCCTCAGAAGTATTTTCTTAAATTCAGTTTCCTTTTTTTACATCGGCAGATAAAATCATATGTATAAATCCGTACAGCATGATGTTTTAAGTGTATTTATGCTGCAGAATGACTAAATCTGGCCAATTAACACATATGCACAACTTTATAGATACCCAACAACAGATACAATTAGAAACAATTGGCTTGAATGCTCCCTTTTCCTATTTTTGTATATTTGAAATTTTCCTAATAAAAATGGACATAAATAAATAACATTTAAGGCATTTTTTTATTAGGCATAAGCATGCATTTCTGATAACATAAATCACCCAAGAGCATTTGTTATCCAGGTATACACACATAGACACTACTCTGGAAATGTGTTTTCAAGTTTTATTTTCCTGATTACGGGTCTACATTTTCTTGCCATTTTGTGTGATGTCTCTAACAGTGCTTACATCTTGTTCCGAAACTATCTGAATCGTTTCTTTCTTAACGTGCAGCAACATGCACTTATTAACAATGAAATCTAGCTTCTGTTTTTTTTTCCTATGCATCTTGTGAGAGCATCTTTAGCTCATCAATTTCTCTTGATAATTTCAACTCAGAAGAGCTAAGCATCATCTGCAGATTTAACGATTTCATTGAAAAAAAAATCCTCCAGATCAGGTATTTTAGAATATTAAATAACACCAATCCTGAGGCCCGTCTGTAACCACTCAAAGGGTCCACCTTGCCCACTGCCTAGACAGAGCCAATTCATCAACACGGGGGAATTGCAATAGAGAAAGAGTGATCCATGCAGAACCGGCTGTGCGGGAGACCGGAGTTTTATTATTACTCAAATCAGTCTCTCCGAGCATTCGGGGAGCAGAGTTTTTAAGGATAATTTGGTGGGTGGGGGGAAGCCAGTGAGCCAGGATACTGACTGGTCAGGGGTGAAATCGTAGAGAGTAAAGCTGTCTTCTTGCACTGAGTCAGTTCCTGGCTGAGGGCTACAAAATCAGACAAGCCAGTTTATTAATTTGGGTGGTGCCAACTGATCCATCAAGTTCAGGGTCTACAAAATATCTTGAGCCCTGATCTTAGGAGGAGTTTAGGGAGGGTCAGAATCTTGTAGTCTCCAGCTGCATGACTCCTAAACCATCATTTCTAGTCCTGTGGCTAACATTAGTCTAGTCCCCAGGCAAGAAGGATGTCTGCTTTGGGAAGGGTGATTACCGTCTTTGTTTAAACTATAAACTACAAACTAAGTTTCTCCCAAAGTTGTTAGTTCAGCCTATGCCCAGGAACAAACAAAGACAGCTTGGAGGTTAGAAGCAGGACGGATTCAGTTAAATTAGATCTCTTTCACCGTCTCAGTCATAATTTTGCAAAGGCAGTTTCATGTCTGTCTGCAGTCCATCATTCAGAGGCCTTCCCCTTGCTTCCTGCTAAAAAATGAAATATTTCCTGCTGACAAAACATTGATCCTGAGCCCAGGATGGTTAATGGATTAAGCATGTTTGGGTGTCAATCATGGTCAGGGGGGTTTTGAATAAAAGCTAAATTAATTGGCTACATTCACTCTATATTTTCCACACACCCTTTTTATAGAATAAAAGAACAACTTGCTTGTGATATTTAATGAAGGCAAACAGCACTTCGTTAATGTGTTATCATCGGCACTGCCATCTGTCCCATCAGCCGACGTAACAAGCCGGGCAGCTGGAGGGATATAGTTCATGACCTTTTCTGGGGTTGAAGAGGCCAATAGCAGGGAAACATGCACACCATTGAAACAGGCTTGATGAATAGATCTAGTGATGGGATCTATTTTGAGGATGTGTCTTTGCATGGGTATCTTTTCAAGCCTGCTTTCCCTGATGCCTGCAGGCCATCAACAACTCTAAGCTGATGTGTGCTTTTAGCAGGGACTGAGCACTTAAATTACGTCAAGGATTGTGTTAGATGGAAACTTTCTAGTATCTCATTAAATCATCAAAGCGGCATGATGGGTTGCAACTATTCCCATTTCCAGTCGTGGACATGGAGAATCAAAGAATTTGAAGGTTGAAAGTTGTCCTAGGTTCATGGAGTAAGCCTGAGAGCTGAGATTTGAACAAAACATTGATCCTGAGCCCAGGACACTTAATGGATTAAGCATGTTCGGATGTCAATCATTGTCAGGGCGTTTTTGAATAAAAGTTGAATTAATTGGCTACATATGTCCTATATGTAGCCAATATAGCCTCTCTCTCTCTCTCTCTCTCTCTACATACACACACACACACACACACACACACACACACACACACACACACACACATATATATATATATATATATATATAACCAATATATGTACCCTAACTATATCCCTCCAGCTTCCTGGCTGGTTATGTTGGCTGATGGGACAGATGGCAGTGTTGATGATAACATATTAATGAAGTGCTGTTTGCCTTTATTAAATATCACAAGCAAATTGTTTCCTTATTCTAGAAAAAGGGTATGTAGAAAATATAGAGTGAATGTAGCCAAGTAATTTAGCTTTTATTCAAAGACCTCTTGACAATGATTGACACCCAAACATACTTAATCCATTAACCATCCAGGGCTCAGGATCAATGTTATGTCAGCAGGAAATATTTCATTTTTTAGCAGGAAGCAAAGGGAATGCCCCCGAATAATGGACTGCAGACAGACGTGCCTCTGGATTGGTGTTATTTAACATTTTGCCTATCTGAGAAGGGAGGCTTTGCTGTCTTAGGTAGCCACCATGCTGAACTCCTGCAGACACAGCAGGGCTCAGCAGTGCTAGAGGATGCACAGGATGGAGGAGTTAAGACAGTTTTAGAATACTGTTGATGCTGGCACGTTTCCAGCTTGATGACATTAAACAAGTCACTTAACTTCTCTGAGACTCAGTTTGTATTCAATATGAGCAAATCTTACTGGATTTTTTTTTTTTTTTGAGATGGAGTCTTGCCCTGTTGCCCAGGCTGGAGTGCAGTGGTGCGATCTCGCTGCAAACTCCGCCTCCTGGGTTCAAGCAATTCTCCTGCCTCAGCCTCTAGTCTCATGTAGTTGAGAGTGCACCACCATGCCTGGTTAATGTTTGTATTTTTAGTAGAGACAAGGTTTTGCCATGTTGGCCAGGCTGGTCTCGAACTTCTGACCTCAAGTGATCCACCTGCCTCGGCCTCCCAAAGTGCTGGGATTACAGGTGTGAGCCACGGCGCCTGGCCTAATACATTACTGCATTTACCCACACCTCCACAGCAGCTGTTTCTAAACCCTGGAGAGCACTAATCTGCCTTCTGCTTCTGTAGGTTCCTTCTCTCCTTTCTTCTTTCCTTCTTTCCTTCCTTCCTTCCTTCCTTCCTTCCTTCCTTCCTTCCTTCCTTCCCTCCCTCCCTCCCTCCCTGAGGATAGGAGAGGAGAGTGAGGATAGGAATTACAGATAAAAGATAACTCAGTGTGCTTACATAGGCATTATCCTATGTAAGTGTTGAATTAAAGATGCCTTATGATCTGCATTGAAAATTCACAAAACACACCCTCCTGTAGGTGTAATCAGGTTCCAAAGATAAGAAGGACTTCTCAAAATCTATGCTCAAGAGCTGAGGAAGATTGCAGCTATTTCACCATGGTGTGGGCCAAGCTCAGTTCTGCTACATAATTAGTCCCAAGTCCTTAATCCTTAGTGTATTTAACAGGACGTCTTCAGGAGTTGCTTCAGCTTATAGCCCTCAAAACCATACTCATACTTACCCTGCCTAGAGGGCTGTGGGCAAATATTTTGATCTGGGAGAATGCAGGCTACATAAGCTTGGGGATATGTATGTGTGTGTGTGTGTGAGTGTGTGTGTGCAATTACATTCATGGATGTGCCAAAGTATCCCAAATTGTCATAGAGTGTCTGGCACACACCAGGTGTTACACCAATACTTACGGAAGAGATGAGCGAATGCATGGAGATTCCAATAACAATCACAAACAAATCCTATGAAATATCACATTTAGAAGCCGGTGATGCTCAATATATTTTCAAGCTCCCAATAGAAAGAAGAACATCCTTCTAATTATTACATAGTGTTTATTGCAGAAAAATTCGATTTAGGAGAGAGCCATGTCATTGTACAAAGAAATCTGGGATCTGACTGCTGGCACTGTGGGTGCTCATGCTGGGGTCTGGGGACACGTTCCAGCTACGCTGTTTCCCTATTTGTGTGCAGTGATATTTTTTACTGTGTAATCATGTGTTTTTCCCCAAACTTTCTTTCATGCTGTGACTCTTTTCCTCCTCCCCATCTCAGTCTTGTGCCAAAACCTCAGGTAAGGGACAACTCATCAGAAAGTGAGAATCAAAAGTGCTTTATTTTTAAATGTCCAAAGCTTTAGACCTAAGGTAGTTGGGGTTGGGGAGGGAGACTGTGAGCAACAACAATGAAGTATTTTTAGAAAATCCAGGAGAATTGGAGAGAAAATCTCTGTGTGTGTGCTTACGTGCTTACATGCTACATTTCTGGAAGATGTGAATGATTGCAGGAGCAGGACCCGGCACACAGAGAGATACACTCTGACTCTCGGGAGGGAGAGGAAGCAGCCGGGGAAAGCAAGTCTAAAGTCAACGGTGGATTCCAGAGAGATGGGGACTTGGCCTGACGGTGAGAAAGAAAAAGCCTAGATAATGTTTAGAGCATTTGAGTGTGAAGGCTCAGCTCCACTTTCCAAGATGGAGCTCAGGGAGATGAAAAATCCTTAGTGTAGAAATGGATGCACCAAGCCCTCCGCCCCCCATCACAGCTGATTTCCAGTGAGGAAGGCTCTCCCGCATGGGATGGGGCAGGGTTAGCAAGAGAGAGCTGGACCTGAAGGAGTCATGTGTCCTGGGACAATTAGGGACCAGCAGTGGATGAAACAAGAGCCCTGATGTCACCAGCCCCAAGAAGCCCCAACTCTCAGTACCCTGGGTGCAAATAAGCTCCTCCTGCTTGGAATTTAGAGAAAGGGAATCACCCCAAAAGTGACTGAGATTGTTATATCCCTTTAGGGGACTCTAAATAGATATGGAAAATAGAGACCCCTAAGAGGATAGCTATCTCTATCTGAACAAAGATACTTATAGAAATTAAAGTAGGTCATATTTCTGGCATAATTGAGCTGGGTGGTAGCATAAAAGTTTTTGCATGTTTTTCTTGTAAATTCATAAATATAAGTTTATGTGCCTAATTCTCCCTGTCTTTCTCTCTCCTTCTTGCTCTCTAAGTCAAGCATGTGATGGTCAGGAGTTATGGAGCAGCTGGCATCTCTATCTGACCACACGCAAAGCCTCCTGGAAAACACGTGGCCATATTGGGGTTGATAATTCAGGTAGCAGAGTTGGCTTCCATGCCAGAAGTGGGAGGGACAAAGAAACCACAGACTCCCACAAAAGGAGGAGGAGCTTTCTCTGAAGTGCTACTGCCCAAGAATCAGACACCTTTTGTGGTGGCCACTGATGTTTAAAGCTGAGACATTGGCTTCTGTGCTTGCCTTTCTGGGACCACCCTCCCTTTCACAGCACATGGAGATGCTCCACGAATAATGTGGCCAAGGCCCAGCCTCCCTCCCCTCTGCAGCATCTGGAGATGCTCCATGAAGGATGTAGCTCCGGGCCTTCTGAGCCAGGCACCCTCGACTTGGCCATCTCTATAACTTTGGGAAGTAGGGTGGGCCGGAGAGACCACCGAGTCCAAAGACCAGAGCTACTCCGGAGTGCCACCTTGTAATGCACAATTATTTGTTTGTGGCAATAAAATAAGTGGGAAACATTGACATTTAGCTAGAAAATTGAGGCTCTGACCTATGCGCCATGCCTATAAACTCCAGCTACCTAAACCTAAACCTCAGTTTGTTTGTTTGTTTGTTTGTTTGTTTGTTTTGATTTGGTCTATTTCATACCTTACCACCCTGGCTGCTCAATGGAGTAACCTCAAGAGCTGAAACAAAGTGCTAATGCTCAGGACCTAACCCCAGAAATAGTGACTCAAGTTTTCTGGGATGAGACCCAGCTGTAAGTATATCTTAAAAACAAAACAAACTAACACAAACTTCTCAGATGATTCAAATGTGCAGCCGGGGATAAGCATTTCAGACTCACTTTTGGAATATTTGCAATGCAAGATTTTTAAAAATATGGATTAGCATCTATATTAGGGCAGCTTTGTACCCCAACAGGATATAAAGGACTTCTCCCACGATAAAGTGGGAGAAGGAGACAACTCTTTCTGAAGGAAGCAAACACACACACACTCACGGTGTACTGTGCAGGGGCCGTTTGTCATCGGCACCAGCCCACGTCCCATCTGTGTTATGATAAGTGGCTTTAGTTGTGCAAGTTTTCTTGCCCTTCTCAGTTGGGATCTGGGGGTTGGTGCTACTGATGATAAAGAATGGCTCTAAGACACTTATCTGGCAGAGGAATGTAAGTTATGGCTCTCGGTGAAGTATAACTACAGATGAAATAAGGCAGAAGGGATGCTGTATAGTGCAAGGTTTGTTATTTCAGACCTAAGGCAGAGCAATTGTGGCCTGTCTCAGTCTTCTGACCTTGTACAGGGGTAATGTGCAGAAGCGAAGGATAACAACGTCATGATCTTCAAGAAAAATAGTGAATCAGATTTTTCAACAATGTACAATATGGTGTTTTGATAGACATATACATAGTAAAATAATTACTATTAAGCAAATTAACTTATCTATCTCCTAATTTATTTATTTATTTTTGGTAAGAGCCCTTGAAATCTACTCTTTTTTTTTTCTTTTTTATTTTTTTGAAATGGAGTCTTGCGCTGTTGCCCATGCTAGGGTGCAGTGGCATGATCTTGGGTCACTGCAAACTCCGCCTCCCAGGCTCAAGCAATTCTCCTGCCTCAGCCTCCCGGGTTCGAGAAATTCTCCTGCCTCAGCCTTCCAAGTAGCTGGGATTACACCCGGCTAATTTTTGTATTTTTAGTAGAGATGGGATTTCACGCTGTTGGCCAGGTGGTCTTGAACTCCTGACCTCGTGATTCACCACCTTGGCCTCCCAAAGTGCTGGGATTACAGGTGTGAGCCACCATGCACGGCCTGAAATTTGCTCTTTTAACGAGTTTCCAGGATACAATACAATATTATTCACTACAGTCACCGTGCCGTACGTTAGATCTGTAGACTTACTCATCCTGCATAACTGAAATGTTGTACCCTTTGACAAATATCTTCTCATTTTGCCCTTCTCCCAGCCCCTGGTAACCACTGTTCTACTCTCAGCTTCTATGTGCTCAACATTTTAACATTCTGCATAGAAGTGAGTTGATGCAGTATCGTTCTTTCTGTATCTGGCTAATTTCACTCAGCATAATGTCCTCCAGGGTCATCAATGTTGTCACAAACGACCTTCTTATTTTAAGGCTGAATAACATTTCATTGTGTATATGTGTGTCTATATACAGTATTAGTCCAGTCTCATGCTGCTAATGAAGACATACCCGAGACTAGGTCATTTATAAAGGACAGAGGTTTAATGAACTCACAGTTCCACATGGCTGGGGAAGCCTCACAATCATGGCAGAAGGCAAATGAGGAGCAAAGGCAAGTCTTACATGGACAAGAAAGCATGTGCAGGGGAAATCCCCTTTATAAAACCATGAGTTCTCGCATGACTTACATCACCAGAACAGCGCGGGAAAGACCCGTCCCCATAATTCATTTACCTCCCACTGGGTCCCTCTCACAACACCATGAGAATTATGGGAGCTGCAGTTCAAGATGAAATTTGGGTGGTAACACAGCTGAACCATATTATATTCGTATGTGTGTGTGTGTGTATACATATATATGTGTTTGTATACATACACATCACATTTCCTTTAACTATTCATCTGCTGATGGACACTTAGATTATTTCCGTATCTTGGTTACTGTCAATAGTGCTGCGATGGACATAGGAGCGTAGATATTTCTTTGACATACCGTTTTTATATCCTTTGGATATATACCAAGAAGAGGGGTTGCTGGATTATATGGTAGTTATATTCTTAGATTTTGAGGCACCTTCATACTTTTTTATAATAGCTGTACCAGTCTACAGTCCCACTAACAGTGGGCAAGAGTTCCCATTTCTCCTCATCCTCACCAACACTTGTCTTTTTGTTAATAGTCATCTAAACAAATGTGAGGCCATAGCTTATTGATGTTTTCATTTGCATTTCCTTGATGATTCACAATGCTGAGCACCTTTACATCCATTTAATGATGTCGGCACTTTGATAAAACAGGTGAAGCGATGCCTTTACGTTAGACATACTGACCTTTGCTTTCTTGTTCAGCACCTTTGAGCTTTTGTGTAGGAAGCAAACTTCATACGGTGACTATTAGAAAAGGCTGCTAATTCTTTAAGAAAGTTGATCACCATTACACACATTGCATATCCATAATATTCATATCCAATGAGAGTGATCTGGCAATTCTGTGAATGCCTGTAATTCATGCAGTTAGCTTCATGGGAACTGGGTGCCAAAACATAAGGAATTCATCCCCTTGCCCACTAATAGTTTACTTAGAGTGACCGACATTCCAAATTTATCTGAAAACAAAAGGTTCCCCAGGATGCAGGATTCTCAGTACTAAACATTCTCCAGGATGCAGGATTTTCAATACCACTCACAGGGAAATCAGCATAGTTGGTCACCCAAATACTGCAAAACATTCATTGATCTGAATAACCTCACAGATGCACTTATCTTACTCCCATAAATTATGTGCAGACTTAACTTGTGAGTTTAAACTCCAGAGACAGGAAGCCTGCTCCAGAGAAGAAAAGGACAAATTCTGGGTTTGTCCAGCTGATGCAAAAAAGTTCCTCCTGCCTCCAGTCTACATTTTTGCATGGTGAATCCCTTAATTCATCTTTCCAGAACCTACTCAGAGAAAAGGAGCCCACACCATGTATTTTAAAACTGGCAAGGAAGGGTTGCTATGGTGTTCATAGCTGTCATTCAGAGACTGGTCTAAGATAAGCGTTGAACACACTGCAGAATCATTCCTTGGCACTTTGATAAAACAGGTGAAGAGATGCCTTTACATTAGACATACTGACCTTTGCTTTCTTTTTCAGCACCTTTGAGCTTTTGTGTGGGAAGTGAACTTCATAAAGTGACCATTAGAAAAACCTGTGAATTCACCAAGCAAGTTAATCACCATTATGCACATTACATACCCACTATATCCTATCCAATATTATATCTTCTAATGTGAGTGATCACCACTTTGATACTGTTTTATTGGTGCAGACAGAAAAAGTCAGGGGAGTATTTTTATGGCGTTTTATGGCCTGGGCTGGGTCATTTTTAAGATAGGTCTTGCAAGGCAGGAAGCTAATTGGGATTAGTTGTGGACACAGGGAGGCAAAGGTCTCAAATAGAATTTTGATGAGAAAAGCATAAATCATGTTAATTAAGCAATTTTAGTTGTTTACAGCTTTAATTGCAGGGTCCAGTATTCTCTGGAGCAAGCAGATAGTGTTTGTTCTGAGTATTATTAAATATAGGAACAAAAATATGCCCACTCTCAACACTGCTTACCACCCGAACAGGACATTGTAATGGACTCGGTTCTCAAAAAAATGTTAATATCACGGCGATTTATTATTTTTGGGAGAGAGCAAAACGTTTGTTTTTGAGATGGAGTCTCACTGTCACCCAGGTTGCAGTGCAGTGGTACAATCTCGGCTCACTGCAACCTCCTCGTCCCGGTTCAAGTGATTCTCCTGCCTTAGCCTCCCAAGTAGTTGGGACTACATGCATGCGCCATCACACTGGGCTAATTTTTGTATTTTTAGTAGAGACGAGATTTCACCATATCGACCAGGCTGGTCTTGAACTCCTGGCCTCAAGTGATCCTCGTGCCTTGGCCTCCCGAAGTACTGGGATTACAGGCAGGAGCCACTGTTCCCAGCCAGAATCTTTGTTTTGCTCTAGGGTGTTATCTTCCCCCATTGTGTCAAGTCTCGATGGGGCCATCGACATAGATAACTTACTGCCCACACAAGTGGCACAGGTGTCACTCTGGCTAAGCAAGTAAACTTCTCCTGGAATTTTATTCACAAGCAGAATGGTACAAAAATTAAAAATGATGATAGTTGATTTTTCCAGCTGTATCACCTTGACAATTTAATTAATTAATTCCTGCAAACTGTTTTTCCCAAATCCCCTTGTACCCTGTGCTTTTTGAGCATGTCTGGGTTTTCCCATCAATCTCTAAGCATTTATATCACTTTAATATTTTTTTTTTTGTAGTTGTTGAAGGGAGCCACAGTTTGCTTCTGTTAGATTCAACAGAAGAGGACTAGTTGATACATGTAGCAATTATAAAAACACTCTTTTCTGTGCAGCTCATGTCTGGTCCCAACAAGCCAACGCATCAGAAAACTTCCCTGAGAGTTACTTAATCTCCCTAAACAATACCTCCCAGGATCTCAGAGGTCGAAGATAAGGTCCTTTTCGTTGAGAAACTCTTTTTCATTATTTTATTTATTCTACAGTTTGAGTTTTTCTCCTGTGCCCAGCAACTGTTGTAGGCACTGGGAGCGGCAAAGTAAAGAAGTCCTCCGCCTTCAGGGAATGTGTCTCTTAGTAACTATAAAATCCCAATAAGCAAGTAAATATATTACATGCACAGAGGCAATGCTTATTTTAAAGAAAAAGAAAGGTGAAATGTGATAAAGAGAAAGAGAGAAGAGTTGCTATTCTACCAAGGCTGGGTCAGGGAAGACTTCATTAAAAAGTGGCATTTAAACAAAGATCTGAAGGCTGTGAGGGGCCATGAGGCTTTCTGGGGATCCAGGCAGAGGGAGTGGTATGTGCAACCCTGGGGCAGGGGTGCAGCTTCAGAGTTTGGGGACCAGCAGGGCTAGCATGGCTGCAGCTCAGAGACTATGGGACGGCTGGTAAGAGTTGAGCTCAGAGAGGTAATGGACAGGTGTTCCAAGGCAGGTCTTCCAGACTTGCAGGTCATTATAAAAACTTTGTCTTTTGCTCCCAGTAAAATTATAGTCACTGTGGGATTTTGAACGGATGAGTAAGATGACTGATCTGTATTTTAATAACATTAATCTGGTTGCTGTATTCAGAGACAACTGAAGCAGGGCAAAGATTAAAAGTAAAGGAAAAGGAAAATAGAGAAGAAAGGAAAGAAAGAAGGAAAAAACGAGGCCACAGTGTGTATAACCAGCTCTCTAGAATTCAATGTCATCAGCTTTGTGAGTTCCCTAACTCAGAGTTATTTGTTCATCTTTGGAAAAAACAATTTGTAAAAACAAGGAGCTGGGCATAGTCTTGAAACTCTACAAGGTACTTCAGACAAGACTGACAACCTTAATTGGGAAATATCAATGTTTATCTTTCTGTTTCCCTAACGATCCCCGTTCTACCAAATCCGTTTCAGTCCTGCTTTCGATGTTGATATATTAGGTAATAATGCTCATTGCTAAAAAGTGCCAACGTACTGTGCTTATTCCCAAGAAAATGAGGAAAAATGGCAGCATCTGAGAGACAAACCAGGCCTCTGGTGCCGAACCCAGCCTCTGAAAAAAAAAATGGGACATCCAGAGGCACCCATGTGGAAACAAAACTGCCACCAAATGGTTTTTTAAACATGAAAAATAAAATTGCTTTAGCTTTAGGAGATGTGTCCCAATCACAGACACAGCCAAATTAGTGCTGGGGCTTCAGGCAATGGTTTTTACAGGGAAATTCTGATTACATGTAAACATCAGAGCATCTCTTTTCCTGGTCATGAAATCTCTATAGATGAGTTCCAAAAGGCCTTAGGCATCATACATAGATGTACAAATTATATATAAACTATCCAATATGGTTTGGCTGTGTCCCCACCCCAATCTCACCTGGAATTCCCACATATTGTGGGAGGAACCCAGTGGGAGGTCATTGAATCATGGGGGTAGGTCTTTCCTGTGCTGTTCTGGTAGATAGTGAGTAAGTCTTACAAGATCTGATGGGTTTATAAGGGAGAGTTTCCCTGCACAAGTTCTCTCTTCTCTTGCCTGCTGCCATGTGAGATGTGCCTTTCACCTTCCGCCATGATTGTGAGGCCTCCCCTGCCACGTGGAACTGTAAGTCCAATAAACCTCTTTCTTTTGTAAATTGCCCAGTCTCAGGTATGTCTTTATCAGCAGCATGAAAATGGACTAATACACTGTCTTATATCAAACAAAACACACTAGCAGTAGCAGCAACAATAACAACTACTTATGAAAGGAAAATATTTTGTGTCCCCAAAATCACTAAGCTAATGGAAGTCAAGCTGGGAACTGCTTAGGGCAAACCTGCCTCCCATTCAATTCAAAGTCACCCATCTGCTCACTGAGATAAATGCATGTCTGATTGCCTCCTTTGGAGAGGCTCATCAGAAACTCAAAAGAATGTAACAATTTGTCCCTTATCTACCTATGACCTGGAAGCCCCTTCCCCACTTTCAGTTCTCCTGCCTTTCCATACCAAACCAATATTCATCTTACACATGTTAATTGATGTCTCATGTCTCCCTAAAATGTATAAAGCCAAACTGTGCTCTGACCACCTTGGTGACATGTTGCCAGGACCTCCTGAGACTGTGTCATGGGTGTATGTCCTCAAACTTGGCAAAATAAACTTTCTAAATTAACTGAGACCTGTCTCAAACTTTCAGGGTTCACATACTCCTGAATGACTTGTTTATCCCTGTAATTTTCAACTTATGGCCTACAAAGTAAAATAGGTGGATTTTCCAATATCTGCAACATTCTCAGGAAGGAAATCAATTAAAGTAAATTTGTCAAGTGGATAATCAATCAGTTATATGATTAGCCAGAATTTTTAAGCCTTACTTTGTACCCTAACCTATGTTAGATGCCCTTGGAGGATGCTAAAATAAAGGAGTCACAGCCTGTATTCCAGTTGAGGAGATAGGACCTAGAGGCACCATGCTGTGAGGAGTTAGTAGCACTGGGGAGATGAATGAGGTAAGGAAGAGGTGCCTTTCTAGGGAGATGCTCCACTGATCCTTGAGACTGAGGCTGGGTCAGAAGGAAGATGGAAGGAAGAACAGAGATACAAAGACTTAAGAGAGATAAGCCTATGTCAGGGTGGAGGAGGAGAAAACTCGCCTAAAAATACGCTGAGGGCATCTGGGGCAGAGCAGAGAACCGGGGAATCAAACAGTGATAACAGCTCATTTCTTAAATGTTGCTACGTGTGTGATTTTTTTGTAATCCTTTTATAAATTTTTGCAATCCACCCATTGATAAAGGTCTAATATCCAGAATCTACAAGGAACTTAAACAAATTTACAAGAAAAAAACAAACAACCCCATCAAAAAGTGGGCAATGGATATGAACAGACATTTCTCAAAAGAAGACATTTATGTGGCCAACAAACACATGGAAAAAAGCTCATCATTACTGGTCATTAGAGAAATGCAAATCAAAACCATAATGAGATAACATCTCATACCAGTGAGAATGGCAATTATTAAAAAGTCAGGAAACAACAGATGCTGGCAAGACTGTGGAGAAATATAAATGCTTTTACACTGTTGGTGGGAGTATAAGTTAGTTCAATCATTGTGGAAGACAGTGCGGTGATTCCTCAAGGATCTAGAACCAGAAATACCATTTGACCCAGCAATCCCATTACTGGCTATACACCCAAAGGATTATAAATCATTCCACTATAAAGACACATGCACACATATGTTTATAGCAGCACTATTTACAATAGCAAAGACTTGGAACCAACCCAAATGCTCATCAATGATAGACTGGATAAAGAAAATATGGCACATATACATCATGGAACACTATGCAGCCATAAAAAAGAATGAGTGCATGTCCTTTGCAGGGACATGGATGAAACTGGAAGCCATCATTCTCAGCAAACCAACACAGAAACAGAAAACCAAACACTGCATGTTCTCACTCATAAGTGGGGTTGAACAATGAGAGCACATGGACACAGAGAGGGGAACATCACACAATGGGGCCTCTCTGGGGGTTGGGGGGTAAGGGGAGGGAGAGCATTAGGACAAATACCTAATGCATGCAGGGCTTAAAACCTGCATGACAGGTTCATAGGTGCAGCAGACCACCATGGCATATGTTTACCTATATAACAAACCTGCACGTTCTGCACATGTATCCCAGAGCTTAAAGTAAAATTAAAAAAAAAAAAAAAAAATCAAGGTCAATCTCTGTGTGTTGGTTATGGAAAGATGTACACATAAACCATTAGGTAAAAGACACGAGACATCTAAGTTCGATCTTATAGAAGACTAACAGTTTCCAGAAGGTATGTGAGTTTTTCCTTGGACACAGTTGAGAATTGCCTGGACTGGGGAAGAAAACTGATAGAGCCAATATTCAATCCCAGGTATGTCTGGCCACAAAGCCTGTGTTCCTAACCATTCACAGCCTCTTTATGTTTACACACTTGATCTTTAAAAAACAAACAAAAACCATCTTTATTTATTTATTTATTTATTTATTTATTTATTTATTTATTTTGAGACTGAGTCTTGCTCTGTTGCCCAGGCTGGAGTGCAGTGGTGCGATCCTGGCTCACTGCAAGCTCTGCCTCCCGGGTTCACGCCATTTTCCTGCCTCAGCCTCCCAAGTAGGTGGGACTACAGGCACCTGCCACCATGCCCAGCTAATTTTTTTTTTTTTTTTTTTTTTTTAGTAGAGACAGGGTTTCACTGTGTTAGCCAGGATGGTCTCGATATCCTGACCTCGTGATCTGCCCGTCTCGGCCTCCCAAAGTGCTGTAATCTTTAGAAGGGTTTCTTCTGCATAGAAAGATTCTGGCTAATTATGCAGAAGAAATAGTAGAAATTGAAAATCATAACTCCGAAAGCCTGAATAAAATTGCTCCTAGACCAGTAGCTCCTAGATCAGGAGCAGCAAAGTATGCTGAGGCAATTTTTTGAAAGAGGATTGAGATTGGCACCATGGGACCGTGCTGGCCAACCATAATACCTGCCTCCAGATACAGTGCAACAAGAAGTTCAAACACAGTCAATGAATTAATTTTGCCTAAAGAATGAAGCCAAATTTAATGAAGGCTGTAGGTCTATCTACCAATTGACAGAAGATATATGGTACAGAGATGAACATGTTACATAAAAGTTCTAGCATGCAGGCAGCCAATCACAATGGGAGAAAAAAACACAGGAAAAACAAATCTGCCTTTTCATTGAAGAAACGATGGTTCGGTGGCAGCGGGGAGGGAAATGCCTTCCAAGTAAGACGTAAGAGATTTATCAACTAAATGCAATGTGAATACTTATTTTTTTGCACTCTAACACACTGGCTATAATAAAAGACATTTTGAGGTGATTAGCAAATTATTAAAATAATACTAGCCGAGTATTAGATGCAAGTTGAGCATCCCTAATCCAAAAATCAAGTCCAAAATGCTCCAAATTTGTAAAATTTTGAGTACCTACATGATACCACAAGTAAAGAAATTCATACGCGACCTCGTGTCCACAACCTTTGTTTCATGCACAAAATTAGTGAAAATACATAATTATCTTCAGGCTATGCATATAAGGTGCATATGAAGGACAAATAAATTTCGTGTTTAGACTTAGGTCTCGCCCCCAAGATATCTCATTATGTATACGCAAATATTCTAAAATCCCCACAAATCTGAAATCTGAAACAATTCTGATCCCGAACATTTCAGACAAGGAATCAACCTGTACTATTAAGTAATTATCGTTAATGTTTTAGAGGCCATAATTCCACTGCAATTGTGTCAAAAAGTCATTATTTGTTAGATTTATATGCTAAACCATTTATTATTTAAAATAGAATGGTGTCTGTAATTTGTTTTAAAATACACCAGGAAACGAATGGTGCGTCTATAGATTAAACAAGATAATTTAAAAAGTAATTAGCATATGGGGATTTGTTATAATTTTATCTCAACTTGCAACATTTTCATAATAAATGTCAAAATGTGTAAAAAGAAAAGATATAAAATATTCAAGTTCTATTATAATTGTTTCCTTTTCTTATCTGGGTTGACTTTTCTTCTAGTCACTTCTCACTTCCTGCTGTATAATATAGCTATTTTTGTTTGTTTGTTTATATTTTTTCCTCCACAGTGTAAGCCCGTGGAGACTAGTACGTGCTTGACGTTCTCACCGTTGAATCAATCTTCAGTACCGCACCGAGACCAGTTCCTGGAGCATGGAATGTTGTCATTGTTTGTTTGTTTATTTATTTATTTATTTATTTACTTATTTTATTTATTTATTTATTTGAGATGGAGTCTCACTGTCGCCCAGGCCAGAGTGCAGTGGCGCGATTTGGACTCACTGCGATCTCTGCCTCCCGGGTTCAAACTACTCTCATGCCTCAGCCTCCGGAGCAGCTGGGGTTGCAGGTGTGCGCCACCACTCCCGGCTAATTTTTGTATTTTTAATAGAGACAGAGTTTCACCACGTTGGCCAGGCTGGTCTCCAACTCCTGACATCAAGTGATCTACCTGCCTCGGCCTCCCAAAATGCTGGGATTACAGGCGTGAGCCACCGCGCCTGGCCTGTCACTGCTTATCATCGTGAGTACCAAGTTCTAGTCCAACTCCTCGAGACGGTCTCCAGGTAGCCAACAACTTTGGAGAACCCTGCCCTTCACCCCTTCCTCTTAAACACTCGCAAAGCACGTTAATATATCGACGTCTCCTTGAAACATCACCTTAAATTAAAAATTTGCTTATTTTTGAGGAATCGATTTCTTCTCCCGGAACGCCAACGTCTCCCAGGATTTGTCTTCACAGAAGACACTGTGGGGAACGCTGGCTTCCAGCATGAACGCGGCACTTGGAGAATCGAGCAGCGGGATCCAGGCTGAGCCGCGGAAGGGGTGGGTGGGGAGCGAGGGAAGCGGAGCTTCAGTCAAGTGAGCCTGACTCCCGGCTGGCACTCTCTCCACTCACGAATGTGCGGGTGGTTCCCGCAGGGAAACCCCAGCGCCATCTGACTTCAGGGAGAGAGTGGAGGGACCCGTGGGACATGAGGCTGGGAAGAGAACGCTCATGGATAAAGGAGGTCCCTGCCGAGGAAGGCCTGCTGGTGCTCTTTGAGGTGCTCTTGGGGAGCATCTTCAGACCGAATTCTGCCTGCCTGGGGATGGATTCCAGAGACGCTTTTTTTAAAAGTCACCACCAGATCCGGAAGATTGTCTCTCCGAAGCTCACACAGAAGTGTGGGATCAAAAGACTCTTTGCCTTGTGTTTGTAGCTCCCCCTGAAATAGCCACAACTGCTTCCAGAAATGCCTGAATTGGGAAGCTTTTCCATTCCCTAGCCTCCAACCCTGTGCTTAGCTCTGGCATGTAGGGAACACCCCCTGGAGAAGACAAAAAACAAGAAACAAAAAAAAAAAAAAAAAAAAGGAAGAAAAACCAAAAGTACAAACAACAACAAGCAGAAACGTTAATAGCTGAGCTAGTCTCTCTCAAAATAACAATTTTAAAATTTAATCAATTCATTGAGTTATCTGCTGGTCCCCTTTTAAATACGTTTGAGGGAGAACTCTGCTCAGAAAAACTATACAGATACCTAAATTTTCACTGCTGAAGAAATTAAACGGAATCTCCCCAAAGCGTGGGGTGAATGCAAGCCATCGCACTGTTATGTAATATGCAGGAAGGACCACAGAAAAGAAGCGGCCCCGTCTCCATGGTATCAACCCACGGCTGCAGAATGTCACTTCCCATTTGCAGGAGCTGGGGCATGCAGTGCTCCGTACAACTTGGGGGGTTGGGGGATGATACCAAACACTTCCCAAACCAGGGGCCCCCTCTCATCTTGTCCCCTGCCTTTCTGAGATTATTCACCACCTGTGAGCAAGAACACGTGGTTAGAAACCCAGGCAGCACCTGCCCCACCCCCTGCCTCTCTCGTTAAGCACCGTTGTCCTTGGCTCACCTTCAAAACCTGGGCTCCTTCTATCCTGGGTTGTTTGCAAGACCTCCCTGTTTCTTCCTGGGAAACAAGCTTAATTGACATATTTCCCAGTGTGTCGACTCAGTCCTGCAGGAACCCATGGTACTAAATTAAAAGCTATGTTTCACATTTTGGATGAGATGTTAGTCGTGTCTGTATTAAAATGAATGAGAGCAGCAGCCCAAGCTGCAAACTTCAATTTCTTCAAGGCAGTCTGAACATCCTGTCCAAAGTGCCAAGGGAGAAAATGTTGTTTGAGTCAGTGACAATATTTTAAACTTTAATAACATTTTGTTTGAAAATAAATAATACAGGTCCTATATGATTTGAATCTTTATATTACATTACATTTTTTCATTTTGAAAATTATTATCCTGTAATAGCTAATAACAAATCTCACATACTACTTATTCTTTGCCAAGCGCCCCTCTCAGGACTTTACAATTGTCAAAGTATTTAATTCCCTGAACTGCCCTGTGAGGTAGGTGCTATGCTGATCCCTCCTTTACAGACCAGGAAACTGAGGCCAGGCCTGTTAAACAACTTGCCCAGTGCTCCATGGTCAATAAGAGGCTTATCCAGGATGCAGATGAAGGCAGATTGACTTGAGCCCAGTTCTTTCAACTTGACAGCAATGGCCCTCAATTGGTTGCACGTTTCAGGAGACATCTGGAACACCTTTTAAAAACACCTGTACTGAGGCTGATTCCAGAACAATTGTGTAAGGACTTTAAGACCAGGCTCTCACTCTCGAACCCTGGGGTGGGAGTGGGAGTGGGGGTATTTAGGTAAAGCATTTAACTTCTCTAAACCTCAGAGGCCTCATCTGTAAAATGCGCTAGTACTGGCCCCACCTGCTAAGGTAGTGGTACGCATTAAATGTGGGGCGTTCACCTGTCCTAGTTTACTTAAACTCAGTGGGTTCCTGGGACTTGGGACCTTCCGTGCTTAAACGGAGACAGTTAGGGACAAACTGGGACGATTTGCGCACCTTAATTCGATGAGCTGATGCCGTCATATCAACGCACACTTTACCTAGCATGCATAAGCCTAGAGTCAGCAGTCGTGATCTGATTGTTTTACACACTTCTATAGTACTTTAAAGCCACGCTTCATGCATGTAAAGGGCTTTTAAGGCAGAAACGAGCAGGCACACTTGAAGGTCAGAAGAAAGCAGTGTAGATGGAGCACATACAGCAAGAAGTTGCTTTTGTCAATCTCAGTAGTAAGAAGGCAATAAAAAGCCAGAAAACAATGTACAGTGATGGGGATCCAGTCTGGCCGCATTACTTGCACCACAGCACTGGAGAATTTGAGATGGGAAGAGGTCAAAATCATGACCCCAGAGCAGCCAGTACAAATCAGTCCCACTAATGGAGTCCCACTAATGACACCATTTATGAGGAAAGAGACTCCAAGTGCAGTGCTCAGCACACAGAAAGACCGTCCTAATCTGCACTGGCTGCAGCTCTGTTCTACTCTAATGAACACAGTCATGGAAGACGGGTGCAAAGACAAGGTCAGTACCGGAGGACAAAGGTGCTGACTTCTGACACTTGGCCTTTACTGATCTGTAAAATGTTATCGGTATGTCTTCACCTTAGTACTACTAGTGGAGCCAGGACATTTCTAAAGAGTGATGGGACTGTTACTTGTTTGTTTCATATCTTGTGGGTCAAAAATTTCAGGGCCGAAGTCCAAAGCCAACAAACAAAAATGCTTACCTTTTGCTCATCGCTTTTGTTTCATTTCTTTTGTATTTCCTTTTATGAGTTTATCTGTCACATTAAATAATAATTAAGTAAATTTGAAAAAAAAAGTTAGGACATTGAAATTCCAGCAGAGAGCTAATTTCTCGTGAGTTGAAAAGCGTATGAATGAGGAGGGCTTTTTGAAACAGCAACCTAGAAGCAATGCAAGATGCCTTCACTCCCAGATGTCTTTGCCTCTTGTATGTCTACTCTTTTCCATTGACCCTGGGATTGCAAAACCCAAAGCCTTCACTGACCAGGCAGGTAATAGACATGAGCAATGCAGGCCTGGCCCAGGACAACCAAGAGTGCAGATGGGACCATGAAGGGCCCATTACACCCTTGTGAGTGTTAGAGCCAGGAGAGGGAGGCTGTCCTGTTGCAATGTAGCTCAGACTCCAGAATCGTCAGCCTGGTTCCCCTTCCAGGGGCCTCACAACTCTCTCAGAGTAAAGGCCAAAGTTCTTATGCCCATGAATGATCTCACTTCCCTTCCCTGCTGCCCAGACCTTCCTCCATTCTTTTTAGATCTCTGCTCCTGTTTCCTGTGCTCCAGCCAAGCTGGCCTCTGAGCTGAGCTTGGGAGATACCAGGTAGGTTTCAGCCTCAGGACCTTTGCACGTGCTGTTCCCAGAGAACCATGTCACTGAATCCCTCACCTTCTTCAGATCTTCACTGAAGTGTGAGTTTCTCAGTGAGATTTTCCTTGGCCATTCTTTTAAAGATTGCATCTGTTCTCTCCTGCATTGTTGTTCTTCCTTGTTTTGGTTTTTCTTCTTAGCACTTGCCATCACCTGACATAGGACATACTTAATTATCTTATTTGCTGTCTCTCCCATTCAAAATTGCAAGCTCCATAAAGGCAGGGATTTTTGTCTGTTATTTTATACATATATAATTATCCATATATATGTTTTAATATATATTACATAATATAATATATATTTATATTACTATATGATATATTATAAATATAATATGCATAATACATATTTTATATATATTTAATATATGTATTGAAACTCAGTGCCTAGAAGAACACTTGGCAATACAGCACTTGACAAATATATGTTGGATAATGCATGAATTAAATAAATAAAGATGAATCCTCAAACAACAACTACACCTCTGCACCTCTGCTTAAAGGGAGGGAGTATAGCGAGGGTGTGGCTAATATAATATGTTGGTGGGTTCAGTGGATCCTGGGGGCAGCCTGTTTGCAAGGTTTCCATCACCACTTCATTGAGTCAATGTACTTTTTTTTGTTTTTTGTTTTGAGATGGAGTCTTGCTCTGTCACCCAGGCTGGAGTGCAGTGGCACCATCTCGGCTCACTGCAACCTCCACATCCTGGGTTCAAGCAATTTTCCTGCCTCAGCCTCCAGAGTAGCTGGCATTACAGGTGCCCACCACCACACCCGGCTAATTTTTGTAGTTTTAGTAGAGACGGGGTTTTGCCATGTTGGCCAGGCTGGTCTTGAACTCCTGATCTCAGGTGATCCACCTGTCTCGGCCTCCCAAAGTGCTGGGATTCCAGATGTGCCCAGCCCAGTTTACTTTTTTATTAGCACACAGGACCTTTCTATACCTTGTCATGGATAGAAGTGGAAGGGAAGTAGAGACAGGAAATAAAGGCAAAAGTGAGGAAACAGAAAGAAGCTCAGGACACTTGTAGACTAAGTCAGGCCTGATGACATGGTGGCCCAAAGACTAGTTGGCATCAAGAAACAACTTTGGTGGGCTCATATAGGATTCAAACAAAAATAAAAACATCCTAAAACTAAGGATACTTCAAATTAAAACAGAGATGTCTGGCTTCTCTAGAACAATCAGAGACCTGACAATAGAGACCCTGTGTTTCTGCAGGACAAGGATTGGCCCACCCTGAGAGACACTTGTTCCATTTCTTTTCCATTCCCTGTGAAGGCCCTGGAGGCCCCGAAGCTCATCCGTAGGGTTAACACATGCAGGTGAGAAGAAATAAGGGCCAGGGCAATCTGCAGTGGTCAGGGAGGGCTGCCTGGAGGAGGAGAAAGTGGAGGAAACAGCTGAGCCCGGAGGCATAAGGAATGCTCCCTTCAAAGCATCCTTTGGCTACAAGAATCCTGTCCTTCAACCAGTTACAAAGCTGGAATTTTAGTTCAGGAAACTGTAGGGAACTGAAATTTTCATTAATTAGAATTTACTTATCATTTACTTTAAAATTGCAACGGTATTGTAGGAAAATGTTAATTCATTTAAGCTATATATTGTGTATGATCTTTTCTTATTAATTTGCTTTTCTGTTTTCACTTATTCCAAGGACCTGATTGCAGAAAATATAATTATTCTTTGGCCTCATGAATCCATGTTCAAACATTTGCCAATCGAGACCCAATGCTGCATCCTGCTGTCAATGCCCTCCGGCCAAAGCCGGAAGAAGACACCTGAAGTTCAACAGGCTGCGTTGATTTCTCTTAGCACAGCATGGGGAACTGAGGGGCTTTCTTATTCAAAGGGTGTTAGAAAGAGCTTAGTATAGGATTCAGAGACAAGCACTGGGTGATTTGGGAGGGTTCAAAGAAGCAGGGATTTAAAAAAAATTGTGGATACATAGTAGGTGTATATGTTTATGAGGTACATGAGATGTTTTGATACAGGCATGCAATGTGAGATAATCACATCATGGAGAATGGGGTATCCATCCCCCCAAGCATTTGTCCTTTGTGTTACAAACAATTCAATTATACTCTTTTAGTAATTTTTAAATGTGCAATTCAGTTATAATTGACTATAGTCACTCTGTTGTGCTATCAAATAGTAGTTCTTAGTCATTCTTTTTTTTTTTTCACCCATCAGAAGCAAGAATTTAAGCTTCAGTCACTCATATTACCTGGGGCAAGAAAATGTTTGGAATTTTGTATTTTGGCAAATGTTTTTGTCTTGCCTGTGTTCAGACAAGATTGTGGGATGATCTCACCGTTGTCTTAATCCATCATGGTCACAAAGAGGGCTTCTGTGATATCAATATTCTGTGAAAATTATTCCTATTTTATAAGAGGACAGCAAGGCCTAGCCTATCTCAGAATCAGGGGCAACTTTTCTTCTTTCTCAACGGGTTATTATGAAACAAACAAAGGTCCTGTCTTACCTTCATTGAGCTTACAATCAGGAAACACAGAGAGGGATTAAGCAAAAAGTTGGTCATATAATTAGTTAATTCCTTAACCTTGTGGTAAGGCCAGTGAAGAGTAAATCTACAAAAGTCTGTCCATTAAGCTCAGCAAACCTATTGTGGGAGAAATGGGTGGTGTGGGTTAATAAGCCCCAGAGAACACAGGCTTTTCAGAGGTTGAGAATTATCTATGTCCATGCATACTTTATTTCTATTTTTATATGGAAAAATAAAGCAAGCATACATAAATTTGTATTTTAATGCTTACTATTAAAACACCAATTGCACACTCAGGTAAAAGGACTGATTTTGAGATAAAGATGCATGTTCACATGGGAGCCCCCATATGGGTTTGAAGCCAGAGGTCAAATGCTACTTCAGCCACCCTCTTATGCTGCTAATCTCATAATATCCCCTGAACACTCCAGTGGCAAGTGGATGTCAATGCAGAAACTTTCAGTGAAAGGGAAATATAAAAGAAATAAGTCACTGTTAACACTAGCATCTCCATCTTCATCCAGGAACTGAAGGGCACAACAAGGACTGCTGCTTTAAAGATGCTTCTAGGGCTGACTCACAAATGAATCCAATGGAGTGTGGCTGGCCTCTTCCTTATCCCATGCAAGGGTGAATGAGAATAAATATCCATGTCATTATCACTTTCCATGGTGCACCTTCCTGTCATGCAACTTGGCTTGCCAGTTTCAGGAGTGGCCTCAGAATCAATTAACAGTGAATTATTTATACTGGCAGCTGCTGCAAAGTGTTTCCAGCTGTTGTTTTACAAAAGACATCTTGTTCTTTTAAATTGTGCCCTTGCCTTTTGTACGTGACCAAATCCATCAACAGAAATGAATGGGGTTTTCTTTTCCTTTTCTAGATATAAAGACACGGTCCCATACAGCGTCCCTCAGCTCACTCTTGGAAAGTTATGTCAGTCCTTGCTGTGTAGTTTTCACTGTCGTCTTGCTTGATGGGACTCTTAACAACCACTGTGTTTGATCTAATCTGATATGGTTACACATAAGGTAGGTTCTCCCCCCACCAAGTGCAGACACTTGAGAGTCATCTGTAGGTTACCATGCACCACTTCACAAGAGAGAAATTGCAGGATGGTGTCCCACAAGGACCTGCCCCCTTTCTTCCATCATCAAGCACTACTCAGAAACACAGCTCTCTTTCCCAGTAACCAGAGCAAAAGGACATCAGCAAGACAAAATCATAACAAGTTCCAAAGAAATTCACTGAAACCATATAGTCCTTCTACTGCTTTTCATATATACACAAATCCATTTTCTTTAGGAAGTCCTTTCACTCTCATGGAAGCAACCAGCCAATAGAGAAACTAATTTGGGAAAATATATTCAGTAAATATTAAAGTGCTAACCAGATTCAGAGGGGAGGCTTTCATTTATTTATGAGACTTCTGGGAATTTATAAGGGGTTCTGATGTGAGGATGTCTTGAGGAGCCAGGAGAAGACCCAGAATTAAAGTCTGCATGGGATTAAATTTGCTGACAACTTCAGAGGAGAGATTGCAGGAATTTGGGATGGGGAAGGCTGTCATGAACCCCAAGAGATAAGGTGAAGAGCAGAGTTGAGGAGAGGATTATTATTATTCCTAAAGAAGAAAATGCTGATAACGACTCTAACCCATCAAGGACTGGTGATTTTGACATTGTTACGAGATAGCACCATTGATGTGGAATTTGCAGTTCTCTCCATGGGCCGTTAGCAGGGGTAGTGACAGGGCTCTGCTGTGTGACTGTTCAGGTATCAGACCTAGGGGAATCTAGAGGCGGAACCTGGCAGTGAATAAGGGCTAGCAAGTTGGTGTGTAGGTACCAGGGAGCCTTCTACTTGGGGTTCTACAGAAAACTAACAAACAAACAAAAAGGAAGATGCCTTGAGGACAGCTGACTTCTTCTTTTAGTAAGTAGAGAGCTAGAATTCATGGAATTTGTGAATAAACAATACTGTACCCTGTACCCTGAATTTGTCACAACTGAGTTGAAAGGGAAAATCAGTGTCTGTGTGTATCTGTGTGTGCATAGTACAAACTCACCTGTTCCTTACTTTGCAGATGAAAGTTATAAAGGAAATAATTTAAAAATTTTTACTTTCAGTGGTTATTTCTGGGAGGTGGGATGATGGGCAATTCCTCTTTTCTTATTTACATATTTCTTAAATAAGGTACCAAGAAAACTGAGATTGTAAGGAGTTAAAGACGAACATTTTTTTCAGAGCATCAACAGAATATAACGTAAAGAATAGTGTCTTATATGGGTTCAGGTCCTAGCTTTGCTCCTTGCCATTATAAACTTCAATTGTTTTTCTCATTTTTAAAGATATTATACTTAATATTATAAGTGTAATTTAAGATGTCATTTTGTATTTGATACAGATGTTTTTGTCTGCAACTGACAGAAAACCTGATCACATTAGCTTAAACAAATAAAGGTATTTTTAAAAATATAACACACATTCCAGGAGTAGACAATTTGGACAATTGGTTTAGAAGCTTGGTGCTATCTGGGCCAAGGGCTTTGATTTTTCTGGGCTGCTTTCTCATAGTCACAAGACGCCTGCAGTAGCTCTAGCCATCACAGCTTTGTTCAAAGGAGAAAATGAGGAGGAGACTGGGCACAGTGGCTCATGGTTGTAATTCTAGCACTTTGGCAGGCTGAGGTGGGCAGATTACCTGAGCTCAGGAGTTTGAGAGCATCCTGGGCAACATAGTGAAACCTCGTCTCTACTAAAAATAAAAATAAAAATAAAAAATTTTAAAATTAGCAGGGCACGGTGGAGCATGCCTGGAGTCCCAGCTACTGGGGAGGCTGAAGCAAGATAATTGCTTGAACCCGGGAGGAAGAGGTTGCAGTGAGCTGAGATCATGCCATTGCACTGCATGCAGCCTGGGCAGCAGAGCAAGACTGTCTCAAAATAAATAAATAAATAAATAAAATAAATAAAAATAAAAATAAAATTTTTTTAAAATGAGGAGGAAAGTAGAGGAGAAGATGCTGTATTTGAAAAGCAAATGTATTTTCCCCAACCCCGTGGCTGACTTCCGCTTCTCTCTCCCTGGCTAGAATGTGATAGTGGCATCTGGAAGGCAGCCAGGAAGAGCGTGGTTAGAGATTGAGCATCAGGGCATCCAACGAGCCTCTGATCATCAGAGCCCTGTGCCTGACACATAACGGGCAATTGATAATGTCGCTCTTATTCTTATCACATTTTTACAGGAACGACCTCTTTTCTCTTTCACAGAGTTTCCTGGAAGTGCCCTGCACATCCCTAAGGCATACTTGCTCCATCTATCCTGTCCCAGTCGTCAATACACAATGATGAGTAGAGTCACTTGCAACCTGCTCACACAGCAGCTTTTATCAGCTGAAGCCATTTTTCCCAGTCTTGTCTGGCAATGCTGGACATTAGGGATCATCTACTTGGGTCCAAATGGTTATCAAGGGCTACCTGGAGAAACACATCCTAGAAAAGCTTCCCTAACCCCAGAGGACTGGCCGACCTATGAATAGCAGCTCTAACAGACGCCAGACGGATGCAAACTGCCTGGAGACTCACCTTTAGCCGCTCTGAAATGACACCGACCTTCAAAGGTTGAAATCGGGCACTTTCCATACAAAGGGCAGAGATCGCCGACAGTTTTGCTTTCTTATTATCTGCTTAATTTATACTTTTATTGATTCTTGCCCTCAGACAAACAAGAAGGTTTAAACATGCATGATTGGAAAACTCAAAGAATGCTAGTTTTGTTTGTTTGCCTTTTAGCCATACAAAAGAAAAAAAAAAATCATGGGCTGAGAACATGGAAATCTAAGTTAAAATCCCAGATTTGGGACATATTTTACCCATATGATCTTTGTCAATAATAATAACAGTTGTGATAACAATAATAATTTATCTAAGGTCTACCATGTAGCAGACAACATGCGAAGACATTTACGATCATTATCCCATTCAACAATTGCAACAACCTTATGAGGAATACTCTATTTTTTTTTTCCAAGATGGAGTCTTGCTCTGTCACCCAGGCTGGAGTGTAATGGTGCCATCTTGGCTCACTGCAACCTCCGCCTCCCGGGTTCAAGCGATTCTCCTGCCTCAACCTCCCGAGTAGCTGGGATTATAGACGCCCGCCATCACTCCTGGATAATTTTTGTATTTTTAGTAGAGACAGGGTTTTACCATGTTGGTCAGGCTGGTCTTGAACCCCAGACCTCGTGATCTGCCTGCCTCGACCTCCCAAAGTGCTGCAATTAGAGGTGTGAGCCACCCTGCCTGGCCGGAATACTCTGCTTTTATCTCCATTTACAAATGAGGAGACTGACACTCTGAGAAGGGAAACAGTGGGTCCATTTCCATGCATTGAGAAAGAGATGGAGCACTGCTTTTTAATTCACCTGTGTTCTCCATTTCTCACCACCAGGCCATATTCTGACTGGCCTGTGCCCGTCTTGTAAGCATCTCCTGTACCAACTTCTAATTAAACCCATTAAAACTATTACATTTGCCACATTTCCCTAAGGGTCCAATAAAATCTCTTATTAATTCTTATTTAACATCGTGCAGCATTTAGCTCAATTCTAGCTCTATATTCCAATTCTTTCAACCTCAGAGAAATGACTGCAAAACTCAAATACTTCCCTGTCTGTATTATCATCTGGGAGTTTAGCCAAATAATGTCTTTGGAGCTGAGGGAGATGTGAATCCAAAAACGTCTATTGCTTTGTTTATTTCTACAGAAGACTGAGGAGACTGTTTAAGGAATGTGCCCACCACCAAGGAGGGAAGGGAAGGAGGATTTGAGAGAAAGAGAGAAGAGGAACTAGAGACAGAGGAGAGAGAGGTGGGGAAAAAGGGAGAGAGAGGGAGAGAGAAAGAGGGAGACAGGAAGAGAGAGAGAGAAGAGAGAGGAGGAAGAGGAAGAGGAGAAGAGCAGGAGAGAAGGAATGGATCAAACACCACAATGGAAAGTACACCGCCACCTGTGTATTTTCACAAATCTTTATCATTAGACACCCCAACTCACTGACATTAAGGAAGAAGAAAAACATCAGTGTCTGCAAAGCACATGCAGACAATGAGAAGCTAATGCATGGAGACAACTTGCCATGTGCCTCCCTTCCCTTCCTCCTCGCTGTCTGCTTCATGGGTTCTCTGATCACACGACTCCTGTCCCTGGGGACAGTCCATATTTATCCATCAGCAGCAAAGCCTTTAGAGGTGCTCTGTTTACTTTGAAAACTTCTTCTTAGGACATCCCTGGAGAGAGCCCACTCTTCCTCTGCCGATGACTTTCTACATTAGTATGTAGCAAAACTAGAGATATGGATTCGGGGGTTGTCAGCACAAATGCTATTTAAAGCCATGGGAACAGGTTAGATTACTTGGAGAGTGATACAGTGCCCCATATCCATATTTAGTAATTTCATCCATGCATTTTCTATTTTCCCCAGGAAGGAAACTTCTCCAGGGTAGCATATCCATCATGCAATCCTCCGTACCCTGCAGTGCTTGTCTGAGTCGGGGCCCTCATGGTAAGAAAGGATGTGGAATGGCACATCTGGGTCTGGAACACAGCAGGATGGGAAGTGGGCCAGCTGGCTCATGGCCTCAGCCTAACCAGGGCAAAATATCAGATACGCCCCAATTGAGGGATAGCTATATAATACTTGAGGAACACTCTTCAAAACTTCCAAAGTCTTCAAAAACAAAGTCTGAGAAACTCATAGATAAGAGGAATTGAAGAAGACAGGATGACTAAATTAATGTGGCCTCCTGGACCCCGAAAGAGAAGGACATTAAGCAAAAAGTAAGGAAGTCAGAATAAAGTCTGCACTTTAGTTAATAATAATGTATCAACACTAGTTCAGTAATTGGGCTGGGCACGGTGGCTCGCACCTGTAATCCCAGCACTTTGGGAAGCTGAGGCGGGAGGATTGCTTGAGGCCAGAAGCTCAAGACCAGCCTGGGCAACATACTGGGGCCCCATCTCTACAAAAAACAAACAAATAACAATTAGCTAGGCATGATGGTGTGGGCCTGTGGTATCAACTATGCAGGGAGCTGAGGTGGGAGGATCTCTTGAGCCAGAAAGGTCAAGGCTGCAGTGAGCTATGGTTGCGCCACTGCACTCCAGCCTGGGTCACAAAGTGAGATCCTGCCTTCAAAATAAATCAATACATAAACACTATTTGTTCAGTAATTGTAACAAATGTACCTTGCTAATGTAAGATGTTAATAATGGGGCAAACAAGTGCATGGGTACCTTCTAAATTTTTCTATAAATCTAAAACCGTTCTAAAAATATATTATTGGGGGAAACAAGAAAGCTAGGCCAATTAGGTCCTGCTTGGGGTTCTGTCCTATCTGGGCACTGAAATATTAGAAATATGATGTGAGGGAGTTCAGATTTTAAACACCTGTTGGGGAATACAAATGAGTTCTGTCCCCATCAAAGCAGACAGAGCCCTCCAGTGGACACTGAAAACGTTCTCGAGCAGCACGGGTCTCTGCTCATTTGTGTTTCTGTGACACTCACCTGCAGGCTGACTGGAGCCAATACACCCCACAGACACAAGAATCAGGCCAGCTGGCCATCGCCTGCAGCAAACGTCAACGTCTGGTGATCCAAACCCCAATCATGACATGTAGTTTAACAGGAATGAGTTGTTCCTTTTACATCAAATTACCAACTTAGACAGCCTTTAAAATTTCCCCCATTCAATTCTTTACCAAATTCTACTAGTTGCAGCTTAAATATAGATGTAGATGGTCCACACCTCACCATGTCCATCAGCACCCATCTGGTCCACACCACCATCTACCCTCCTATCTGAACAATTGCAAGAGTCCCAATTGCCCCCAGATCCTCTCATGCCTCTACCAGAGCAATCCTCCTACAGAATACATCAGACTTTGCCCCTCCACTTAAACATCATCAACATCCATTGCACCGGGAACAAAATTTGCAAATAAAGAATCCCAAGAGTGTGTGATGGACCCCAGCTCACACACCACCTCCACCCTCCATCTCCTGCCCCTTCCTCTTGCTCACTGTGCACAGTCTCAGGGTTACTCACTGGAGACAAAGCAACAGTCAGCCTTCAGGAAAGGGGACCTCCTTTCAGACGCCTTCACGTAAGAAGGTCCAAAATCCTAGCTAAGCACACAGACTTGATTAGCATTGCTGATTGACTCTGAGAAGAAAGCAACATTTGAGGGGAAAGCTTGTTTTCGGCCATTTCAGGAAGACACGTGTGGGTCACAGGTAGGACGGCGGTGACAGCTGCCAGCGCACGTGGCATAAGAGCCACCGAGTTGTGACGCTCCTGAGCCATTCATCAGCCCTGGCAGCAGGACGTTGATGTTGATGAAGCAGCAAGCATGGGGGGAGGAATGAAAGATGCTCCCGTGCCTCCGCCTTGGCGCCGTCTTCCCTCCACACGCCAGGGCAGGGGAGCATCTGCCTCCTCAGGTGACACGGACGCTGCTCCCTGGCTGAGAGATGAATTATAGACAGATTGAAGACACTCCCTTTAGGGATGATGCTCTTCCTCACCCCCACCCATAATGCAAAATTAATATGAGGAGGGGTGAATGCAAATCTCTATCCACATGAAGCAGGAAAGAAGCTTTTAAAATAACATTCACCTGGGAAGGAAGCATTGCATCATGTGGAGTTGCTTAATAAACCTCAAGAAAAGCTCCCAAGAGCAGAGAGGGGCACTTGGCAGGGCCCCTGTTGACTCACAGAATATCCAGGAACAGCCTCCATCGGCTGCCCTTTCCCGAGCACTGGGGGCTTACCAGCGTGGGGAGGGCCTGGAGGACGAGCGTGGGCTGCTTCTCCCTTCATACTTTTGACTCCCTCTGCCCTTTGCCAACACCAAGAGGCCTTTGTACCATGTGGTCTCTGCCTGGAACACTCTCCCTTCAGAAATCCAGGCTCACTCCTTCATATTCTTCTGTTCTTTCTAAATGCCAGCTTCTCAAGAGTATCCAATGTTGATTTATTATTGTAATGCTGATGAACTACTATACTGATTTTCTTTTCCCTACAAATTGCTTTGAGATTTTCGAATAATACAATTAGATGGGTCATCCAGCGTTCGTAATATGGTCAGATAAAAATTAAAACCATAATAAAAAATAAACTTATTTATAGTAATAAGAAACCAAGCCCCCAATTTTTAATGGTTTTGAACTGCCTGACAGGTGAGATTCTTGTTTTAGGATTGGAGTTTTCAAAACTTCAAAGAGTCATTTGCAGGCCAATATAAATATTAGTATAAATAGTACTCAAGCAAAGTTTCCAAAAATCCCCTTAAAAGAAGCAAGTGTTCTCCCTAAATTGTATACAGATCTTTTATTTTCACCATTTAAAAACAATGAAGCAGGCTGGGCCAGTGGATCATGCCTGTAATCTCAACACTTTGGGAGGCCAAGACAGGTGGATCGCTTGAGCTCAGGAGTTCAAGACCAGCCTGCACCACATGGTGAAACTCTGTCTCTACAAAAAAGTACAAAAATTAGCCCGGCCTGGTGGCACACACCTGCAGTCCCAGCTACTCTTGGGAGGTGAGGTGGGAGGATCACTTGAACCAAGGAGGCAGAGGTTGCAGTGAGCCAAGATCACACCACTGCACTTCAGCCCGGGCAACAGAGCAAGACTCTGTCTCAAAAAAAAAAAAAAAAAAAAGCTTCTAACATTAGCTTATATAATACTGGGTATGTACTTACTGTATCAGGCACTCTATTAAGCATCTTGTATGTATTAGTCCATTTAGTTTTCATAATTTTAAGATAAAGCATAACTTCAGGCCAGGCGCGGTGGCTCACTCTGGGAGGCCGAGGCGGACGGATCACAAGGTCAGGAGATGAGACCATCCTGGCTAACAGTGAAACCCCTTCTCTACTAAAAATACAAAAAAAAAAAGAAAGAAAAAAAAGAAAAAAAACTTAGCCGGGAGTGGTGGCGGGTGCCTGTAGTCCCAGCTACTCGGGAGGCTGAGGTGGGAGAATGGAGAGAACCTGGGAGGCGGAGCTTGCAGTGAGCCGAGATTGCTCCACTGCACTCCAGCCTGGGCGACAGAATGAGACTCTGTCTCAAAAAAAAAAAAAAAAGATAAAGTATAGCTTCATATAACATTAAAATCAAGCAAATAAGCAAATAAAACAAAACATTGGCACCTTCTCTTCCCTACACCTTGCTCTCCACCCATGACACATTATCTATTGATATTTTTCACAGCAAAACACCTCCAAAGAGCCACCTGTGACCCTCTTTGATGGCTTTGTCTCTTATTGCCATTTTGTTCATAAAGATCAGAGTCTTGCAATTTTTCCAAAGTCACCAAAATAATCAATGCCAGAGCTCAAAACTAAGCCTGTCTTATAAGTAAGCAAGCAATACATTGAACTGCAGCTATGAGTATTAAACACACACACATACACACAGGAAAGCTGAAGTCCTCTTTGGTACCTATTTTAAGACATCAGGCTGTACACAATAAATATATACCACTTTTATTTGTTGATTAAAGAATGAATGAACTTTAAAAATAAAGTCCTTTTGACCTCACTTTTTCTTCATGATTACCCTGAGTTAATTTGTATTGTCATCAATGTGGCATATTACGTAGATATTGATACAGGTACAGATACACACATACATATATGCATATGTAGGTATGTGCACTTATGCATGCATGCACACATATATATGCGTGCTAAAAAATATGGTTTTGGTTTGTGATTTTTAAATATCATGCATTGTATGTATGTGTTGGTTATTTAACAATGCATGTCTTTGTCATTTAGCCTAACATTTAGCATAGACCTGCTGCATCCTTTGGGCTCTCTGAGAGTATTGCTACAGCACACCTATGCCGGAAGATTATTTCATTGGCAGGTATTTTATTGCTTCTAAAAGTTCCATTTTACTGCAATGAACATCTTTTTACATAGGTGCCTTGGTGTGTGTGTCCTCAGCTAACATTTATCATGTGCCAGGGAAGATACATTTTATAACCATTATATAATTTTCAAACCGCCCTTTGAGGAGGTGGATAATCTGGATTCATATCCAGTCCATCGCTCTAGAGTGGGGATGCTACCCCCCTGCTAGGATGTCCATATTCATGAGTGAGTAGTTCACCAGGCATCATGCTTCTCTTTCTCTAAGTTTTCCAAATTTTCTGTCAAATATGCATCAATTATTCTGGGTCTAAATAACACACACCCATAAACAAGCATAAATGAACTTAATGCAAATGTGTGTGTGTGCAAGAATCCCTAAGTCGACCATGCTTAGAACAATTAAATGACAGCAAATTCAGGAGAGAGAAAATAGAAGAGCCCTATGGAGCCTAATTCTTAAAGATCATACATTCCACAATTGCTTTTCACCATTCTGAGGGGCTTGGGAAAATCCTAATCAGCTCATTTCACGGGCAAGAATGCCTGAAAAAAACCACCTCCATTGTTCTGAGACTTCTCTTTTTTTTTTCCTCTTTCCTAACTCTTCCCATTGCCCTGAGACTCCAGTGACATTTTTAATCACCCGTGAGATGGCCTCTCCATGCTGGCTTGCCTTTCTGCAAAATGTGGATCAAAACGATGGATAATTCAGATACATCATTTGTTAATAAATGTATTACTAGATCTAAAGGCAGATTTCCTTTTTATTTGGGTTGATGTGTTGGCAGTTAAACACTATATCTCACCAAGAACAAAATAATTATTTTTGCTTTTGACACAACCAGGATACATATTTCAATTTATTCACTTATGCAATCACTTTTACCATCAGCCCACTCAGCCAGAAAAACTCATAAAACACAGTTTGATTTTTCTTTTTTCAAATGGTGCAGGCGGCCAAGCTTCATGTCCTTAGTTACCTTATTTTATACTCTTGCACTCCAGCATGAGATGCTGAGCAGAGCCCTTCTTCGCCGGCCAGGAACCCTGGACTTTCTACCCTCCCCAGCCCCTACCTGTGCCTGGCATATGAATGTGTTTCTACTTTATGCCTTTGTTCTTCTGATTCCGACTAAATCCTGTAATAGATCTGAAGTGTGTGCCCCATTTGTCTGGGTACAATTATGAATTGATTTCCATTCCCAGAGTGAGGGTCCCTTCCCCTCTGGGTGCATATGTGAGTCTCACAATGCCCAGACCGCTTCACTCAATAAAGTGGTAAATTCACATCTGGCCTTGCAGTTGCCAGAAGAGACCATGAATTGGCTCAATTGGAAAGAAAATGTGGTGGACCCACTGGAAGATTGCCCTCTTCTCATCCCATGTTCAGCTGCAGAAATGTTAAGATTGTCTGATGTCTCTTTCTGAAGATGGGCACAGAAAGCTCCACTTTTCAAGATCCACGAGATGTCATTTGAGCTAGGATAGGCATTTTGTCTTTGGGATCCATTAATCTGCTTGTGCTTCTCCCATTAGCTGAAGATTCCCTGAAGCTCCTGAATATCATCCCTTGAGGTCAGCGAGATACATTTTCAATTTCCACCTGCAAATTAGACTAGGGCATACTTTTCTGGAAATATCGGAAAGAAAAAGATGTAAAACTCTGGTCGTAATTTTTTTTTCACACCAGAGATGGGGAAGGAATACTGTTTTAAAGACAAAAGCTCAGTGAATTTTGTAAAACTTAGGAAGGATAATTAAAGCCATATTTTGGAGCCTCACTGGATAGGAGAGAGAGATCACACTGCAGTAAAGATGCCCTGGGGCTGTTGAGACCAACAGCAAACTTTATTCTTTGACGTGTTGGAGTTGACTTCTGTTTCTCTCTTACCTCAACTCACTGTATCCCAAATCAATCAATAGATGAGTATTGCATACCTGATCCCTACTAGCACGTGCTAGATACTGCAGGGACCATAAGAAACATATCACATGCCAAACTTCCCTCTAGGAGCTCACAGTCTAACTAGGAGAATGACTGGTTAAGGTTTAGATTGTATTGAACTGTAAGTAATATACAACCTGAAAAAGTAGAGTAATGAACAAGTAAGAACACACACGAGACCTCAGGACTTAGACTGTTTAGGAATAGTATGATGATCCCTCATTGCCAACAGAAGCACATGCTTCTCCCAGTGTCCTGCTCTGCCAACTTACCCATGTGGCTTTATCTCCTCATAGTCACAAAATGACTGCTTCACCTCCTGTATCACACGCACACTCCAAAGTTAAAAAAGGGATGGACAAAGCAAAAAGACAGACCCAACTGAGATAATCATCTTACAGAGGCTTCCTAGAAGCTCTTCCCAGCAACTTCTGTTTACATCTCTAGGCTCAAAACGGTGACTCACGGCCTCCTCCAGCTGCAGATAGCCTAGTGGAAAATAGTGTTTTTCCTCAACATGAAAATAAAATCTAGGTTATTACGGAAGAAAGGTGAAACAGGTATGAGTGTGTTAAGGGTGCTTGTCGTAGGCAAAAAAATAAAGATGGAAAGGTAATTGTTAATGGAAGGAAGTAGGTAGGAAGGTGTTTGTGAGGATTCAGGAAGGCGGCTCTCAAGAATCCTCAGAGGGGAACTTGATCCCACAGGAATCTTGGTCCTCATTAGGATCATGAGCCAGACGATGATGGTAACAAATAGAGACTTCTGTTTCCCGGGAGACTGCCTGCCGTGAGTGTCTTACCTGGAGTAGCGGGAAATAGGTGTGAATGGGTGGCCTTCAGAAACTGGTAGTTCAATCACCGGTTGCAGGTCCTGGAAGAATGCAAAGCAAGAGGAGGGCTTTTTTAAGTAGCCCTTGTGATCTGGTTCTGTCCTCTCTTACAAAGCATGAAGGCCTTGTTCTCTCACACGTGGTTTCCCTCTGGCACCCCGTACATCGGTCTCTGCAGACCCTTCATTTTAGACGAGCTGTTCTGAATCCACACTACACATTAGAATAAAGTGCATAACCTAAAAAATACAAATGTGCAGGCTCCACCCCAGAGAAATTAAATCAGGATCTCTAGAGCGTGGGGAGAGGGAATATTTTTCAAATTACTAGATTTAATTTTAGAGCAGTTTTAGTTTTATAGAAAAATTGAGCTGAAAGTACAGAGAGTTCCCACATACCTCCTTTCCCCCAAATAAACAGCACTCCCCAGTGTCAACATCTTGGATCACTGCGGTACGATGGTTAAGTTGATGAGCTAATTCTAATATTGACACATTATTAACTAAACTCCGTAGCTTTCATTAGGGTTCACTGTTTGTGTTGTCATGTTCTACAGGTTTTGACAAACGCATTCACCAGTTCAAGAGTTTTCAGAAAGTCCCATATCCACCATTTCAGTATGAAACAGAATAATCTCATGTACCAAAAGTCCTCTGTGTTCTACCTATTCATCCCTCCCTCTCCCCTAATTCCTGGTAACCACTGGCCTTTTTTTTTATTTCCATAGTTTTGCCTTTCCTAGAATATGACATAGTTAGAATAATTAGGTATATAGTTATAGCTAAAATCGGTATATTTTGAAGGTCTCCAGGAAATTCTAATATGCAGCAGCATTGAAAACCACTAGGCTATAATATAGAATGATGTTCTAGTAATGTATCTGAACGATTTTTTTAACTTACTCAAAGTGCAATCCCCCCATTTCACAGATAAAATGTATGTTCTGAAAGAGGAAGTGACTTGACCATGGCCATGTGTGAATATGAAGACTGTAAGTGTATCACATTGTTGTTCTGAGATAAACTGGTTAATGCAAATTAAAGTGTTTTCTCTCGTAGGGTTGTCTTTCTTCTAACATCCATGCATTGCACAGATGTTTATTGAGAATCATTTCTGAGTCAAGCAGCAACCCTGGTGCAGTAGCTACAACCGTATATCTGAAACCACTGCTGAACCCACAGGCCTCGGGTTCGTGGAGGTTATGGACAAGTGAACAGCTGTGTAAAGTAGCGCGGTGATATAATGGCCATCCCTGAATACTGCTCTAGGTCCTTTACCATTAACTCCTTTAATCCTCACAAGAGCCCCTTGATGTAGGTATCATTATAACCTCATTTTACAGATGAGGTTACAGAAACTGAGGCACATAAAAAGAAAGTGCTTTGTCTAGGGTTATATAAAATATAGATGGCAGAGCCAACATTTAAACACAGGAGGGACTGCCCCATGCATTAGACTGTTTACTGAGAATTTTTCCTGTGTTCTGCAGTATTTTACACTTTCATTACTGTGGCCATGGGGTTCTGAAAGTCTCCTTCTCTGTAAACAACCCTGTGACACATGATTCTGGAGGTGACTGTTGAAGCAGAACACATTCCATATGGCGTTTTGACGTGGAAGCTGACTGTGTTCACCTGGCAAGCGTACAAATGTCTCCAAAATCCCATTCCTTAGAACAAAAGGTTTGAACATCGTTGCATTCAATTGTCTCTACAGAATGAATAATACCAACTGCCATGGTTTCAGAGTCAGGTGCTTAAGAATTACTTCACTTGTGGGAGCTTATCTGCGGCTCTGTATTTACTGTGATTGAATAGTTTCACATTGATGAGGGAAATGGCTCTCTTAACTAGGTCATCTCTTACTGGCATTTACAAGTTTTAAATTTAAAATCCAACCATACGTCATTGCATTGCAAACAACACCTGGAATACCAGTTACTATTAGTAATATTATTACTAATACAATTAGTAATAATATTACTAATACAATTAGTAATAACTAGTATACTGTTAGTATGTTGTTACTAAAAACATACATAAAAACGGTATGTTTCTTTTCATTGACTTTGATAAATAAAGTGGTTAAAAAAAACAAACAAACAATCTTAAGCATGAAACATTGGTATGCCAACCACCCATAAGAAGCCACTCAAGAGCTTAACAAATTAGAAGAATCCAAAAGTATCTATAAATGCCCTAGGGACGATACTACCAAAAGTAGGATATCACAAATGCCATGAACAGGAGCATTAAAGAAACTCTTATGCATCACTTAACAGAGATGCCAGCTCACGATCTGCTACTCGTGAATTTCCTATCCATAATCTTTTAGTAGAAGATGCTACCAAAGAGGTTGGTAATGCAAGCACAACCCCAGAGTCGAGTCTCTTTGCCCCCTTTCGGGTTCCATGATGAATGCAGAGGCAATTACCATGGGAAGGGAAACGCAATGCATTGATTGGCGGAGCTTTGGACTCCTAACCAGAGCTATTGCCGGAAGCTCAGGGCCTCTGCTAACAGCAGAGTGTCAAAGTGGAGAACAGGTGTTGTCCCAGGAAATCGGTGTTCCATTACCTGGACAAGGGAGAGGGGGTGGATATGGGTCAAGAACAGCCAAGGATGTTCCTTGAGATGTGCATTTACTTGCCTGCTCCAGGGCACCATGCTAACTGTGCTAAAAACTTGGTAATGTCATTGTGGCCGGTCCTGTTATTTAAGATGAGGTCCTTCTTGGATGATGATGATGATGATGATAATGATGATGATTAAACAGCTATCACTTATTGAGTGCTTATTAAATTTCAGGCATGATACTAAATTGCATTTGTCACTCAACTTTGGACAATGACCCTGTAAAATACGCACTATTATTATTATTGTTAATATATCACATTTACAGAGGAGGGAAATAAGCATCTGTCTAAGTCACTGGGTGTGTTCTTTTTGTTGTTGTTGTTGTTGTTGTTGAGACAGAGTTTTGCTCTTGTTGCCCAGGCTGGAGTGCAATGGTGTGATCTCGGCTCACTGCAACCTCTGCCTCCCGGGTTCAAGCAATTCTTCTGCCTCAGCCTCCTGAGTTGCTGGGACTACAGGCATGTGCCACCACACCCGGTTAATTTTGTATTTTTAGTAGAGACGGGGTTCTCCATGTTGGCCAGGCTGGTCTCGAACTCCCAACCTCACGTGATCCACCTGCCTCAGCCTCCCAAAGTGTGGGGATTACAGGCGTGAGCCACTGTGCCCAGCTACTGTGTGTGTTCTTAACCATGCTCTATCTCCCTCAGCCCCACAGTTAACATCTAGTTGCTAGTAGATCCTGACTCTCCATCCTACTTGACCATACTCTCACTCATGGCAGTCCACAATGATAAGTAAAAATAAAATAATACAATACAATACAATACAATACAATAAATCTACCACAACCAAAAACAATAAAAGGCTAAATCTTGAGGACTGAGTAAAAATTTGACTGCAAACAGGCAACCTGACTCAGTACATCTTTTTAAGAGGCTTTTGATAAAGGGGCTGAGATAAGGAGAAATGCAGTGGATCTTTTAAAGCCAAAAATATCGTTGAACTGCATCTCTCCTACGGTAGGAAAGCGACATTCCTGAGTCGGGTTTCTTGCATGGCGACCTCCTCATCTCAACTTCGTGTAAGCCCTGGACTATTTGGAGACAATCTTCTATGTATGTAGGGTCCCCGTGTCCAGATTTGGCATCTAGCTGCCTTGTGAAGAACCTGAGTTGGGCTTTTATCTCTTGGTCATTTTTTAAATTTTAACTTAATATTTATTTATTTTTTTTTTTGAGACGGTGTCTCACTCTGTCACCCAGGCTGGAGTGCAGTGGCCCCCGATCTTGGCTCACCGCAACCTCTGCCTCCCAGGCTCAAGCGATTCTCCTGCCTCAGCCTCCCAAGTAGCTGCAATTACAGGTGCCTACCAGCAGGCCCCGCTACTTTTTTTGTATTTTTAGTAGAGATGGGGTTTCACCATGTTGGCCAGGCTGGTCTTGATGCCCTGACCTCAAGTGATCCCCCTGCCTCAGCCTCCCAAAGTGCTGGGATTACAAGCGTGAGCCGGTACGCCCAGCCTAATTTTATTTTTTAATTGACAAATAATAATTGTACATATTCATGGGGTACATGGTGGTGTTTCAATAGATAGAATGGATAATGATCGGATCAGAGTAATTAGCATGTTCATCACCTAAAGTATTTATCGTTTCTTTGTGTTGGAAACATTTAATATACTCCTTCTAGCTATTGGAACTAATAATATGTTATTGTTAACTGCAGTCATCCTACAGTGTCACAGAACACTAGAACTTGTTTATTCCTCTACCTAGCTGTAATTTGCTATCTTTTAACAAATCCCTCCCTTTCTTCAACCTCTCCCAGCCTCTAGTATCCTGTCTTCTATGTTTTACTTCTGTGAGATCAACATTTTCAGGCTTCTGCACATGAGTGAATAAAAAACACGAGTTTTTAATTTTCTGTGTTTGCACAGGTGCCTGAAGATGGGATGGCCAGGTCAGAATTTGTCAACAGACAATGAAAAATGTCCATGGACTGGTTGTGATTCTCTCTAGCTCAATATTTGGCTGATACACACAGAAATCAAGAAAGACTTAAAATAACTATCACCATTATTTTCTTTTCCTCCCTGGTGAGGAATTCTTCTGGACCCTTCTTTGCTCTTTTAAACTCTCCCAGTGGCTCAGGATCATATCATGGGTAAACACATGAGTTCCTGATTGAGTCTGGACAGACCCACTTCTCTTTGCTTAATAAATATATGAATCCATTGTTACAAAGCTCCACGGTACTAAGGAGATCCCTCTCTGGGTCTGGGCTTTCAGACACACCCTCGACCACACAGGGTGGGATTTCTTGTTGCTGTTGAAGTCAACATCGCAGCACTAGTGATAGAAATGGCACATTTAACCTCCTGACCCTGGGGGGAGGAGATGCCCAATTTATTAATATATTAGAGTATCCCGTGAGTGGGGCAGTCACACAGGGACCTAAGCCTCTGAATTCAAGCCCCAGGCAACCTGTCCCTGCTGTATGTCCCCTGGTTCCTCTCTCAACTTCACTCTTTGTGGTTGCATTTTCCAACAGGGCACCTGCACCAAATAAATATGCATATATTTAGCATCCATATTTCAGGAAGTCTCATCCTCACCTGTTTTTGGAGAGAAATATGCTGGGGACACACATGGTACTTGTAGAGTGGGAAAAGGGGTGCTGTGCAGATGGGGGATGCTGTGCTCTGGGGTTTATGAGTCTCTGTGACAAACCGTACACATTATCACAGGGTGTATCTTCAAGAAGCCTCCCTGGGCAGGATGTTTAACCTTTCTAAATGTCATTATTCTCATCTACAAATCGGAGATTAATATGAGTGGTCTCGTAGGTTGAGAGGAGAGGGAATTCCTTGGGGGAGGGCTGGAAGCCCTACTCCCAGAAGGAGCATGGTAATGAGTCCAACAGGAGGTAGGGGGTAAGAGGCAGAGGCCAGCAGACTTGGAGGTGGAGGGTTCTGTGATAGCTTAGCAACTGCTGTTCCAGTTTCTATGCACAGCTTAGGAGCCCCATGTTTGGGGAGACAAGGTCTCCAGAGAACTGACTGGGGAGTGGAGGTGTCTCTGCAATCCAAGAGGTTCCTTCCTCCACAGAAGCAGGGCAAACACACATCCAGGGGCACAGGCTGTGTTTTTGCCAGAAAGAACGAGGAGAAGCAGCAGCTTGCCACACCGGGCCCACGGCTCCAGGTCTGCCTCCAAGATGGGGATGTGTCCAGATCCACCATATGCCATGGCTTAGAGGAGAGGTGGTGAGAGATCCAGAAACTCCCAATCCTTCTATCTTTAGCTTTATGATGCAGCAGGACCCAGGGTGGGACTCTGAGTCATTTTCTTGGCACAGACTCGCAGTGAATTAAAGACACCTCACTCCAAATTCAAACAAGATGCAGCAAGAATGAAAGAGAAAAACAAATCCTAAAGCTGTCAATGTCACCGTCTCTTTGATGGCTCCATCTTGAAGCTGTCAAAGGAATTCCCAGGCCCCTTTGGACATAATTCTAGGTGGTGGAATATGGGGAGGGTCACCCCCAGAGATGCCAGGCAGAGCAGAGGCTGGTGGACCGTGCACAGCCAGAAGCCCTCACAACACAGCAACCCTCAAGCCCAGCACATATCACCCAGCAGTTTGTGGGCAAAACCTCAGGCAAATCTCAGTCACAAGAACAACCTCTTTCAGTCACAAGAATAATCTCTGTCCAGTAATACACAGTGTCATACCAAGTCACATCAGAACTCTGAAATGTATGCAAGTTAACGGTACCACCCTACCCCAGCTGGGGCTGCTTCTGGCTGAGAACCTGCAGTGAAGTTTACAAAGGCAAGTGGGGACGGCTCCTTCTCTCTGGTTTCATTCCCCGCCCCCGCCCCCCTCCCCCGCTCCAGTCACTTCTGATTATGGCCCCAGAGTGAGACAAAGAAGTACAGGAGTGGAAAATATCTGCCCTGACAGACACAATCAGGAACTGACACCAATGTCCCCTAGATGGAGCAGATACCCAAGTCTGACTCTTCCTCCCATGGCATCATTATCTGAGTTTTGTGGGGCCCGTGGCATGGACGTAGCCTGCATTAGCTTGATCCAAGTGACATCTTTTCCTGATGGCCGTGAACAGCTCTCCCGTTCATGCCTTGGCTTCAGGCAGTCCACTTCCTCCAGGCAGTTCCCTTTATAGGTTCCCTTTGAAGACCACCTTCGACCTGGCTTTCTTGTACCATCCCAAGAAAACAGACAGCTCTTTTCCCCTTTGTTGGTAAAAGCACAGAGTCTCCCAATGCGTCCCTCTCTGTCTGTGTTCTGTCCCAGTCAGGCAGTTCTGACCCCAGCCTTTGACATTCAGAATTCGCCTGGTTGGACTCAGATCCGAGTTCTTACGTCTACTCCATGCCAGAGGTCACAAGTCAAACTCTCCATGTGATTTCTCTGAAGCTCAAATTTATCCAAGTCAGTGGCTCGATCCTGCCCCATCTCAGGTCTGCACTGGGCTTAGAAATTGTAGTGAAGAAAAGAAACGCAACTAACTGACTCTCTTTTGCTTCACCTCTTCTCCAGTCGCTAGTTACTAATTACCTCCTTCCTAACGGTTACATTAAAGCTACGTTCACTGGCTTAGGAGGTGAGAGATGCCAGCACACCAATAACTTCCCTCCAAGTCATCTCAGCACCTCTGATCTTGGCAGGAGCAGGTGATCCGCTGCTGCTGGAGGATCCATGTTCAGTCTTTAGCATGTCCTTCCTGTGTGTTTTCTCAGCCTCTGGGGGAACACCTGGTACCTATTTCATGATTCTCATCTCCTGGTTATTAGAAAAATGTATGGGTTTTAATAGATGTTACGTTTAATATCTCCACTCCAATTTTTTTTTCAAATTTTAGATTTGGGGATACAAGTGCAGTTTGTTACATGGACATGTTATGGTGGTGAAGTCTTGGCCGTTAGTGCAGCCATCACCCAAAAGGTGTACATTGTACCCGGTAATTAATGTTTCCTCTCTCACCCCCTCCACCTTCTCGCCCTTCCAGTCTCCAGTGTGTTATTCCACACTCGTTGTTCATGTGTACACATTATTTAGCTCCCACTTATAAATTAGAACATGCAGCATTTGACTTCCTATTTCTGAGTTATTTAAGATAATGGTCTCTAGTTCCATCTGTGTTGCTGTAAAAGACATTATTCCATTCTTTTTTTATGCCTGAGTAGTATCCATGGTGTGTCTGCGTATGTATGGGTGCGTGTGTGTGCATGTGCGTGCGCGTGCGTGTGTGCGTGTGTGTGCGCGTGGGTGCATGTGTGTGCGTGTGCATGTGTGCGTGTGTGCGCGTGTGCGTGTGTGCGCATGTGTGTGCATGCGCGTGTGTGTGTGTGTATACATCTGCACATTTTCTTTACCCAATCGTCCACTGATGGACAATTTAGTCGATTCCATATCTTTGCCATTGTGAACAGTGTTGTGATAAATATACCAGTACAGGTATCTTTTTGGCCTAAAGATTTTTCTTTTGGGTAGATACCCAGTAGTGGGATTGCTGAATTGAACGGTCATTCCATTTTTTGTTCTTTGGGAAATCTCCATACTATTTTCCACAGAGGCTGAATGACTTTACATTCCCACCAACGGTGTCTAAGGGCTCCCTTTTCTCTGCATTCTCACCAACATCTGTTATATTTTGATTTTTTTTTTTTTTTTGTGAGATGGAGTCTCGCTCTTTCTCCAGGCTGGAGTGCAGTGGTGCGACCTCGGCTCACTGCAACCTCTGCCCTCTGGACTCAAGCGATTCCCCTGCCTCAGTCTCCCGAGTAGCTGGGACTATAGGTGTTCGCCACCATGTCTGGCTAAATTTTTTTTTTTGTATTTTTAGTAGAGAAGGGGTTTCACCATGTTGGCCAGGATGGTCTTGAACTCCTGACCTTGTGATCCGCCCGCCTTGGCCTCCCAAAGTGCTGGGATTACAGGCGTGAGCCACTGCACCCGGCCATATTTTGATTTTTTTTAGTAATAGCCACTCTGACTGGCATAAGATTATATCTCCCTGTGGTATTGATTTGCTACATTGACTCACGTCTCTCTTTTCACCGATCTTTGATGTCCTTTCTGTCCTCACTGTTCATGTGACACGTGTCTGCCGTGTCACATCCTGTCTTATCTTTTATAGTTTAAGAGCTTAACACTAATGAGTCTATGAATATTTTTAGAAAAATATCTGCCAGCCAGTAGATATAGGAACCACACCATGTGTCGGACACCGAGACTTTCAGTGGGGATACAGCAGTGTCCAGACACATATGGTGTCAGCTCTTGAGAAGTTTGCAGGCTTCACGTGGTTTCTGAGAACACAGAAGGAACTCAATAGATGTGACTGGTGATTAGTGGGTTATAGGAAAGGAAAATTGGATTGCGATTAGTGAGGGGGAACTCTCAAGACTCTGGCTGTGATGGGCCAGGCATGATGTGAGATGCTCCTCCAGACCTTCCATGAAACACCGGTTTATTTGTGCTGCAAGTACCTCTGACTTTTTCCAGTGCTGTAGCTTGATGGTTCAGTGACATCTATCTTTCCTTTGCCTAGTGTACAGTGGCTTTTACACAAAGCTTCCTTCCACTAAGTGACTTTGTCAATCTCCTTTGTTTAATTCATTGGCATTCCATCTCTTTATGGCAGAGTTTCATCAGGTAGAGGAGGGTAACTCTCTATTCTTGGTAATAATATCTGCCACCTGAAAAAAACACTAAAGAATACACAGAATAGCCATATCTTTACCAAGACGTGCCTACATATATTTTGATCATGAGTAAGGCACTAGAATGTCACAGGAGCGTCCTCTTCTTAGAGACTATGGTATGATGGCCCTAGGAACAGACGATCACATGTGTAGATTCAATATGATATGTTTGTAATGTCAATTCTGTTCTTCAAACTCCCTTCAGATCCTAGTAAGCTCTCAATATCATCTCAAAACCCTGGGGTTAAAATACTGGTCCTTGCTTTGGACACTGCGTGGTGACTGACTCAGCCAGCGTAAAATCCCTCAGCTCATCATCCCTTGCCATCAAGACTCCAGCAGCTACAGAGCAGGGACCCTCCGCAAAGCTAATGACAGCTCCATCTCTGAACCTACTGGCAAAAGAAGGGATTGGGAGACCATGGAGATGGGCCCAGGTTAGTCCAGCCATAGAGGGGGACAGCTTCCTGAGAAGGCGGCTTCTGCAGGCAGTTGTGTCCAGTTCTCGCTCTGTCATTCCCTTCCTGGGAGATGTTCAGGCCTGAAGGGCATCTCCAGGTGGACCAGTGGGCCACTCTGTTCCTGTCAGAGAAGTCCCTTACATCTTCCCCTGCTGCTCAGACCCTCCTTGCACTGCTGATCCCAAGGCATCCGTGGCCTCCACGCCAGTCTGAGGATCTCCTTCTCTGCCATGTGCTCACTCAGGGTCCCTTTCAGAGGAATGAGAAGACGGAAACCCTCTAGTTACAGAAAGTCCCTCTGGAAAACAGGTCCATTCCTATCACTCCTCTTTAAGTGTCTCTCAATGTCGACATCAAACTGTAGCCTGTCTCCATATCTTAAAACCATCTAATTAAAAAACATAATATATGGCCATTTTAGTTCATGTTTGGCATTATGTTATGATTTCTGATAGATTGTGGTTGACAACATTCAAAAATTAAAGGGAGTGATAAAACTAATGGATACCTCTTTTATTCAGTATTACTTTTCTTTGGTGAAAGTTCTCCACGGACCATGAGCTAATAATGAGACCAGCTCAGGTATCTACCTTTAAGCACTTGCATATTTTTTCTGTTGTCTGAGAGGTACCAACAGTCTGTGCTTGTAATTACTCTGTACATTCGACAGAGCATTAATGATCACATTTGAGAATAGCTGCCCCACTCCAAAAGTATCCTATAATATGGCTGTATAAAACAAAAAGTAGAAACAAAACATAAAAAGCAGACATATTACTCTTCATGAGTTCAGGCTGACATTCATTTTTCCAGCTCTTATTAGTGAAATAAAATGACAACAACAGCAAAGTAAACACATGCCAATATTCTTTATTCCAAAGCACAGACTGTCAGCATGTGTGAGCATGTGTGAGCATCTTTCAGACTTGCATAGCCAGAGTATCATTATCTTCTACTTCACACATTAGAAACAGTGGAAATGTTGAGCTAAAGAAATGTGATATTTACACTTTGATAGTGTGTATCTTTCTCCAATATGGGTTATCATACTCCTGGGAAATTCACTTGGATTGGTCTCTAGGAGCAAAGATGTGTGACCTTAAATCTGATTGTCTCAGAATATACTGTCCTGGACCCAGTCACCCGTGAAGGAGAGAGTCTTTAAAGACACAGTGAGCTCTATTGTATCCAATGGGGTAACTGTGCATAGGGGGATTTTAGGAAGTAGTGCCCCAAATTGCCTTTCCTGATAATGTGGATTCCTCATGGGCTGGTAAATGCCCCCACATACAGTGAGCTTTAAATGACTGGAAAAGTGCAATTAGAACTTTGTTTCACAGAGTAGGGTAATTTTGACAGATGAATCTCTGACTCATGAGAAAGAAGTAAAACTGAATGTCAAGAAGATGTAGAATACGATAGACACTTAGCCTTAAGGCAACTTAAAATATCGAAAGCCAGAAAGAGCTTTTCTGCCCAACCGAACAATAGGAATAAGATGGATAATCTATTACATTACAACTTATATTGAACCTCTCAGTTCAAAAGGAACCGATTAGATGCAAATTTAAGGGATACAACACCAGTCAGAACAAACTGAGGTCCACAAAAAGAAATAACTGTAAAAATTGTTAAAATGGAACCGAATATCAATGACTTTTTTGACCATTCTAAAAGATAATTGTCTGAAGAAAGGCCAGCGTCATACTGTGTGCATGTATAATGCATGTACATTTTCATATGTGCATATGTACAATATGCATATGTATATGATATATATGGCATATGCGCAATAGCATACATTTAGATCATATGTAAAACTAAGCCGTATGACAGTTCACAAAAGACGAGGGAAAATAATTGGGAGTATACTGTTCAAGATTCTTGCAATGCATGAATCAGATAATAGTGATATAATATTATCTGACGTTTGAATTTGATTATTTAAAGATGTATATTGCAAAGCCAGACAAAATATAAAAATTATAAATAAGTTAATATTGAAGATAAAAATGATTTGTAAAATTATACAGTTAATTGGAAGCATGCAGAAGAGAGGAAAAAGAGAGAACAGGTAAGAAAATAGAAGACAACTAAAATGGTAGACTTAAATTCAAGGATATCAATTATTAATACATTAAATGCAAATAGTCTAGGGTCTAGACTTCCAATTAAAAGACAGATTGCCAGATTGAATAGAAGACAAGAATCAACTATATGCTGCTGTGAGTATCAAAATAAACAAATGGGCCTGGTGTGATAATTCATGCTTGTAATCCCATAATCCCAGCACTTTGGGATGCCAAGGCAGGCAGATAACTTGAGGCCAGGAGTTTGAGACCAGCCTGACCAACATGGGGAAACCCCATCTCTATCAAAAATTCAAAAATTGGCTGGGTGTGGTGGCACAGGCCTGTAGTTCCAGCTACTTGGGAGGCTAAGGCAAGAGAATCACTTGAACATGGGAGGCAGAGGCTGCAGTGAGCCGAGGTCATGTCACTGCAGCCCAGCCTGGGTAACAGAGTGAGACTCCATCTCAAAAAAAAAATCCCCCCAAAATAAACCTATGCCATGTGAACACTAATCAAAAGAAAGCTGACTGACTGTGATAAACGTAGGCTTCAGAAGAAGGAATGTGTCAGGAATAAAGAAGGAAATTATATAATGATAACAGGATAAATTCTTCAAAAGACCAAACATCCTCAATGTGCATGTATCTATCAACAGAGTTGCAAAACATATGAAGCAAAACCAGCAAGAAATGATAAGAGGAACAGACAAATTCACAATTGCCATGGGAGATGTAGCACTCCACTTTTGTTAATAACATCACAGAGGCCAGGCGCGGTGGCCCACACCTGTCATCCCAGCACTTTGGGAGGCCAAGGCAGGTGGATCACTTGAGCTCAGGAGTTCCAGACCAGCCTGGCCAACACGGTGAAACCCTGTCTCTACAAAAAAATATAAAGATTAGCCGAGCAAGGTGGCACACACCTGTAATCCCAGCACTTTGGGAGGCTGAGGCAGGTGGGTCACATGAGCTCAGCAGGTCAAGACCAGCCTGGCCAACATGGTGAAACCCCATCTCCACAAAAAAAAAAAAGAAAAAGAAAAATTAGCCTGGCAAGGTGGTGCACACCTGTAATCCTAACTACTGAGGAAGTTGAGGTGGAAGGATGGCTTGAGCCAGGGAGGCAAAGGCTGCAGTGAACCAAGATAGTACCACTGCACACCAGCCTGGGTGACAGAGTGAGACCTTGTCTCAAAAAAAAAAAAAATAAAATAAAATAAAAATAAGAAAAATTTAAAAATTTAAAAGACCCAACAGCTCAAGGAGGAAAAAAAAATTAGTGTGCATATAGTAGACCTTAAAAAAAGCTATCAGTCCACCAGTGCCAATTGTTATTCATAAAATACCTAATAGAAGAGCACACACATTTTCTTTAGTATACTTAGAACATTCACCAAGATAGTTTATCTTCTATTTCATAAACCAACCTTAATAAATTAAAGAAATATAAAGCAAAGTGTGTTCTTGAACCACTATAGAATTGAATGAGAATCAACAACGGCAAAATACATAAGCAATACTTAAATATTTGGAAATTTAAGGACACACTAAGAAATTTATCCATGGAGCAAATATTAACTCATAGGAGAAACCAGAGAAATTATAAAACTTGTTTTGATCACGAGGTGAGGAGATCGAGACCATCCATCCTGACTAATATGGTGAAACCCCGTCTCTACTAAAAATACAAAAAAATTAGCCCCGCGTGATCGCGGGCGCCTGTAGTCCTAGCTACTCGGGAGGCACGGGCAGGAGAATGGCGTGAACCTGGGAGGTGGAGCTTGCAGTGAGCCGAGATCGTGCCACTGCACTCCAGTCTGGGCGACAGAGCAAGACGCCGTCTCAAAAAAAAAAAAAAGAAAAAAAAAATATTTTGGGTGAAGTGAACACCATGAGTAACTACATTAGAATGATGCTCTGATATTTAATCCTACTCCACCATCTGACCCCAGGACAAAGGAGACAGAAATCTAAGAAACTGGAACATAATCTGGAAGGATACTTTAATATTTGGCTGGAGACCACATATACTCACAAAGGATGAAAGCCTAAATCAATAACAGTCTTCATACCTGTGGCCCAGAGAGGACAAATATGGTAGGTGGTGAATGTGGAATATCTTAGTGATGGGTGTTGTTCTATATTTTTGTTTGCACTCATATGTCCTGATACTGGTTCTTAATGGTAGTTAAACTCTATATGTGAGCTGGACAGAATTATTATAGGCTTTCCACACCTAACAAAGTTGTACTATTGAAGCCATTTTGCAACTCAGACTAGAGAGTTATGTGTAATATTAATGTTACAAAAATGCACATAAACTATTGAAATTATTTAAAAATTAATAAAGTACCTACAGAACCCAGATTCCTGTTGCTAAGTGAATTTGTGAAGTCTGGTCACATTTGGGAACATTTTTCAATTACTGGTGTTCTTAGTTATAGCCCAAGACATCTCTTAAATTATAATCCTTCAGAAAAGAAATGCAAACACAAGTACAACTCATAATAATTTATCACTGCTACAGATAATTGGGGAATTAGTCTTTATCAGTCAGTCCTTGTTTCCATACTCTTACAGAAAACCTTCTCTGAGTCCTACAAACTGAGCTAGCAATCTATCTTCAGTGAAGTTCCAATCACTACACTTGCTTCATTGTATTATGCTGATCTATATTAGAGTATGGACTTCTTACTAGATTTTAAGCTCTTTGTGTGCAAGACAATGATGAATATCAATACAGTTTTGCAGAACAAATAAATAAATGTGTATCAAGGATTGTGACTCACCAGCTCCACCTGTATTCTCCAAGGTCTTGCTTGAATTTCAAGTAGAGAGAGAAGAGGTAGACCACATTCTTCCCTTCCATTTCCTTCCAGTTGATTAACTTTCCCTGTCACCTACAGCTTTGCCAAATATGATCTACTTCAGTCAACGTAATCTTGAAACTTCTGAATTTCAAAAACTGAAGAGTTGTAGAAGATATGGCTTCATCTCTCTTGGTGCACATCCACACATGGCACACAACTAGAATCAATTCAAGTTTGTTCTATGAGATATTCTCCAAGTAGAAATAGGTTAGTGCATTCTTTCCTAAAATATTAATATCCAAAAAATGGCACAACTTCTCAAAAGACCTGGTCTTTACCTAAACAGGTTTTATGTGACATGAATCTATTCTTTTTCTCTTTTAATGACCATAATCAAGGCAAAAGTCTTTACCCTCTTTTTCTCAGAATTAGAAATCCAAAGAACACCATACTTATGAAAACACACTTTGATAATTTTTTAGAGATCAAGGTAAAGATTGCAAGTCCTTCCACTTTCCTTCTATGCTCTTCTCCTCCAGAAATAGCACTTTTATGTTCATTTATCTGCTTCCTGCTTTTTTCTCTTCACTCTTAGACTCTCTTCATGTCTAAGAACTAGGCTGAACCCTTGATTTGCTACTCTCCTGGTATAGGGACTTGGAAAACATATTTTTCTCATTGGACTTCAGTTATGTCATCCAAAAATATGAGGATTCAAGCTGTTATCAAATAATTGTTTTAAGAAAAAAATCACCAAAGAGATGTAAAATATTTAACCTAGCATTCAGTAATGGTTATCTATTATATTATATTATATTAATTCTTTAAAATTTTATTTTTAAAAATCACTTTTTTTGAGGAGGAGTATGCATACGGTAAAGCACACAAATCTTAAGAGAACAGTTCAATTAATTATTACACATTTACCTGCCCGCCTGGTCACCACACAAATCCTGATATAGAACACACCTAAAAGTAATTGCCTCCTTAAAATTTGTATTCTGGTCCAAAATTTGCTTCACTCTAATTCCAAACATAATCTGATATTTGTTACCATAATGTCTTGGTTATTATAGCTTTCTAGAAATCTTTGAGGTCAGATTGTACATGTTCTTTAACTTCATCCTCAAAATTATGTTGGTTCTTATAGTTCCTGCTTCTTTCCCCATAAATATTAGAATCACTTTATCCATTTCTATAATAATTTCCACATGGATATTTGTTGAAATTGCATTTAAACTATATGTTATTAGAGACAGTTCACATCTTAAGAATATTGTCTTTCAATCCATGAACATGGTACATCTTTCCATTTATTTAGGTCTTAAATTTTTTTCATCAGTGTTTTGTCATTTTCTGCATACAGCTCTTACTCATATTTTGTTATATTTGGCTATTTGGTGTTTTTTAAATGGTATTTTTTTTCATTTAAATTCCCAAATGTCCATTGTTAATATATAGAAATGCAATTGTTTATTGTAAACTGAAACTGTATTCTGCAGTCTTATTAAACTCACATTTTAATTCTAGTAGCTCTTTTGTAGAATTTTTGGATTTCTCTAGGAAGACTGCCATGTCATCTGCAAATAGCAATAACTTTATTTCTTATTTTATGTTCTGTATGTCTTTTATTGTTTATTCTTTACTTATTATGCTGACCAAGATCTTCAATATGAGGTTAGGTAAAAAAGGTGAGAGAAAATATTATTTTCATGTTCCTTATCTGAGGGGATGAAAATTTAACCTTTTGTCATTAAAGGCGATGCTAATTGGACATATTTTTGATGTAAGAGATTTTCTTTCTGTTCTTAATTGATTACAATTTTTATCATAAATGAGGTAATGATTTTTCTCAAATGCTTTTGCTGCATTTATTATAATGGTTGTATGCTTTTTCTTCTTTAGTCTGTGTGATGGTTAATATTGAGTGTCAACTTGATTGGACTGAAGGATACAAAGTATTGATTGGCAACACCTATAAGGCTGTTGCCAAAGCAGATTAACATTTGAGTCAGTGGGCTGGGCAAGGCAGACCCACCCTTAATCTGGGTGGGCACAATCTAATCAGCTGCTGGCACAGCTAGAATATAAGCAGGCAGAAAAATGTGAAAAGAGCGACTGGCCTAGCCTCCCACCCTACATCTTTCTCCTATGCTGGATCCTTCCTGCTCTCAAACATCGGACTCTAAGTCCTTCAGCTTTGGAACTCGAACTGGCTCTTCTTCCTCCTCTGCCTACTGATGGCCTATGCTAGAATTTTGTGATCATGTGAATTAATACTTAATAAACTCATATATATATATAATATATATATATATTAATATATATATATACATGTATTCCATTAGTTCTGTCCCTCTAGAGAATCCTAATAGTCTGTTTATATGTTAAATTATACTGATTGATTTATGAATGTTGAAGCAATCTTGCATTTCTCAGATAATGGAAGTGATTATAATGTAATAGTGTTAATTTATTTTAAATTAGATTTTAAAATAATTTGTTAAGAATTATTGCATTTCTATTTATGAGGAATATTTGTTTCTATTTGCTTTTCTTGTAGTATCTTTGTCTGGTATTTGTATCAGGGTACTGCTAGCTAATAAAATGAACTCTGAAATGTTTTTTCCTCTTCTACTTTCTAAAAGACATATTGTACAAAGCATACTATTTCTTATGAAATATTTAATAAATGTAACCAGCATGCCATTGGGTCTGGGTTTTCCTTTCTGAAAAGTTTTTGTTCCCTGCCCTTTGAATTAAATTTCTTTGAGTTGTTTAGGACTATACAAGTTATCTATTTCTGCTTGAGTGGCCTTTTGTAGTTTCTGTCTTTCAGGGGCTTGGTCTATTTATTTAACTTAGTAATAAAATTGTTGCAGTATTCCATTATTTCACTACCTCGATTTTCTCACAGCTAGTCTACCAAAGGTCGAGAAAAAAAAAAGGAAAAAGTTTAACTCTTAGTGAATTGTTTTTTCCTGTGATTACTGGATGGAACTTGCTAGTAATTAAAATATTTTATATTCCTTTATGAAATTTCTACAATCAATCAAACATACTTCTTTCAAGACTGTGTTGTGTGTTATCTCCAAAATACTGGTATTCATGATACATTTGATCAACTCTACTGAGGTATCATTGACATAAAACACATTGTATATATTTAAATGTACAATTTAATAAGTTATGACATATCATATACTCATGAAACCAACCATGACTAAGACATTTTTTTTGAGATGGAGTCTCACTCTGTCACCCAGGCTGGAGTGGAGTGGTGTGATCTTGGCTCACTGCAACCTTTGCCTCCCAGGTTCAAGCGATTCTCCTCCCTCAGCCTCCTGAGTAGTTGGGACTATAGGCACATGCCACCACACCCAGTTAATTTTTGTATTTTTTAGTAGAGACAGGGTTTCACCATATTGGCCAGGCTGGTCTCGAACTCCTGACCTCATGATCTGCCCACCTGGCCCTCCCAAAGTGCTGGGATTACAAGCATGAGCCACCGCGCTTGGCCTAAGACAATTTTAACATATGCATCAGCTCCAATGGACTTCTCATGCTCTCCCTACTCCTCTGGCCCTCCAGTCACTCTCAGCATGCCTGGACAACATTGATTCATTCCTTTCATTATCAATTATTTTGCATTTCTAAAAATATTATGAAAATGGAAGCATGTAATATGATGGTTAATTTTATGCATCAACTTAACTGGGTCATGAGATGTCCAGAGAGTTGTTCAAACATTACTCTGGGTGTGTCTGTGAGAGTGTTTTGAGAAGAAATTTATATTTAAAATGGTAGACAGAATACAGCAAATTGCCTTTTATAATGTGTGTGAACCTTATCTAGTCAGTTGAGGGTTGGGATGAAAGAAAATTCTGATCCTCCCTCTAGTAACAAAAGGATTCATCTACCTGTCAGCCTTCAACTTGGAACAACAGCTCTACAAATTTGGACTTGCCAGTCTCCATAATCACATGACCCAATTCCTGATAAGCTTTCTCTCCTCTTTCTGTCTCACTTTGTGTGTGTGTGTGTGTGTGTGTGTACACATACCTTTTTGGTTCTGTTGCTTTAGAGAACTCCAACTAATCCATATAACAAGTAATATTTTCTGGCAGCCTTTTTTCACTCAGTATAATTATTTTGAGATTCACCTCTGTTGTTTTGAATATCAGTAATTTATTCCCTTTTATTACTAAGTGTTTATAATGTATGGATGCACCATAATTTTTTTATCAATTCACTTGTTGGTGGACACTCGGGTTTGACTATTACCTAAGGAGCTTTTATGAATATCGGCGCATGAAACTTTATAAAGACATAGGCTTTACCTCTCTTGAACAAAGACTTAAGAGTGTTACGGCTAGATCAACGAGTAGGTGCATGGTTACCTCTTAAGAAATTGCCAAACTGTTTTACAAAGTGCTTGTAAAAGTGTGTGTTTTCTCTAACTGTATGAACGTGCTCAAGACAAGAGAAAGCTGCTTTATGTATTCTACAACTTCCTGACTGCCCACTGTTTTCCTCTTCCTATGTAACTGTTTTAATATTCATCCATCTCCTTTAGTTTTATGTCTTCTATTTCCTTGATCTTTATTAAAATCACCTCTGTTTACTCTTGCTACCTTATATCTGGTTTGCACCTCTTTTATGTATAAAGGCTCCCTGTCCTGGGAGAGGAGGTTGCTTTTATACAGAAGAAACACTGTGTCCTCTGGAGTAGCCAGTCCTTCTGCACAGACTGTGTATGAGTCCTTCTCTCTACACTGCTCATTGTCCCTCCAGAGAGGCTTCTCTTTTTCTGTTTTTTTGAGAGAGTTTTAAAAACTCTGGTTTACTCAAAATTCAGTGTATCCACCCCTCTACTCACATAGGCATAGAAAACTGCAGGCTCACTCCTCACAGGAGGGAGACATTTTACACAGCACGTGTATTTACATGGATGCAGCTAAGTGCCCAGGAGCTCCAGAAACTTGTGATTATAGAATCATTCCAAGGGCAGGCTGACTTTTGAACACAGGGAGCTGGAGGAGACGGGGGACGTGAGAGTGTAGCAGCTGCACACACTAGTGTACCTGCAGGACCAGCCCAAACTGGGCCTACTCTGTTGATCACAGAATGTCAAGTTACTTTGTAGGTAACAAAGCCAAAACTGCAAGTCCTGAAGCCCAGGCATGCGCAATAGAGAAAAGTTTGTCCTCTAACAATACCTGCAACTAATAATTCCTCCCTGGGGCACCAAGAATATTGGATGTGATTGGAACCTGAACCCTTCCAAAGGCAAGGGGACTGTTGGCCCAGATCAGAAGCTAAAGTCCACTTCAACATACCTTGACTACAAATGGTCAAATTCGAAACTCTGTAATTTTACGCATCAACAGTGCACTGTAGAGAGAAGGACTCACACACAGCCTGTGCAGAAGGAGTAAACAAGGTGATGTTAATAAGGATCAAGGAAATAGAAGACATAAAACCAAAGGAGATGGATGAATAATAAAAAAAGCTCTGCAATCAGAAACGATAACATTCCTAAATCTTTTCCCTTGCCTCCCAGCTCCTTAAAATTTGCCCTAGACTCCAAATCAGAGAGACAGGTTTGAGCTGCATCTCCTGTCTCCTTGCTGTTGGCCTCGCAATAAAGCTTGTCTGTTTTCAAAAGCCAGTGCCATAGCGTTGGCTTCTATGTGCATCCAACACCAAGCCCACTTGCTCAGCAACACTAGGAAACCCAGAAAGGGAAGGAAACTGGCATGTTGAAAGACAAATGAGGATATATTGTTATCATCTGTAAGATTCCATCACTAAACAAGCCAAAGCTGGGCAATTTCCTATCACTAACGTAGTGAGCCATGTGTGATGTCAGAGCTGAGATGCTGGAGACAGGAAGGAGAGAAGAAAAATCTATAAAGGTGGTGCCCCTTGCAGAGAGCTGGGCTCAAACGCCAGGGAGGTTTCACTGAAGGTGGAAGATTTGAGGGATGAGGCATTTTTGGTGCAAAGATGACCCTGAAGAAGACCAGAGAAGGAACTTAGTACAGGAATCATTAGGAGTTGTAAACCAAAAATAAAATTCTAAGCTCCCTCAGCCAATTGAATGGATCCCTCCTCTCCGACCAGGGGATTAAAAAGAAACCTGATTATGTAGGTCATGCCATGATGGGAAGGGGTGGTGGGACAGGCTTTATTATATTGGCCTTCCTTTGAAGTCCAGGCGCAAATGACCAGCATTAACATTAAAACGAAGTTCCTAAGTCTGCCAGAACAGACTCTTTGTAGCAATAAGATGCCAGATTCCAACCTGACTCTAGTATAGCATCATATGACAGACAGTAGGCATTGAAATAAACTGAAGTATTTTACCCCAAAATATTTATTTGACATATTTTAAAATGCTCCTGTAACTCTATCTCTTGTGGGGAAAATCTACATTCTATAGAGAATCCTCTTTTCTTTCCAGGTCTTTTTCTGATCCTGAAGAGATTAAAACTGAGAGCCTAACAGCTTTTAAAGGACTGAATAGGAAATATTTGCCTCTAAGGGTGGCCATCTATAAGGCTCCATCTACATAATAAAAACCTGGTTTCCACAACCCTTATTTCACCCAGACGCTCCTTTCTACTGATTCCAGGTCTTTAGGTAATAGCAACTCTTTCAACCAATTGCCAATCAGAAAATCTTTGAATCCACCTATGACCTGTAGCCTACCTGCTTCCAGTTGTCACACCTTTCCGGACCACGTATACCTTCCATGTACACCTTCCATGTACTGATCAATGTCTTACGTCTCCGTAAAATGTATAAAACCAAGCTGTCATCCAACCTCCTTGGGTACATGTTCTCAGGACCTGGGGTTGTGTCATGGGTTAGGGTCCTCACATTTGGCTCAGGATAAATCTCTTCAAGTATTTTAGAGTTTGGCTATTTCGTTGACAGGGCCTAGGAATGAAGAAAGATCTGACTGTATCTTCAAGGAGACATTGACAAATGATTAGGTTCCAAATATCTTTAGTGTTTTTTCACTTTGTTCAACATTATACTTCCACAAAGGGAGCATTCTGTTGACTGCAGATGGATGATACACTGAGCTAGCAGGCCAGGACATCTTGATGAACCACATGCTATAGGGGTGGATAATTTCCCAAAGTAAGTAGGGGTGTTATGTATAACGAGAAGTGAGACATGCATCCGAAAGACAAAAACAAAACAAAAAACCTGCTATTTTTTAACAGTTTCCTCACTGCTCATTTTTTCCTTCTTCCTATGTAACTATTGTAATACTGTTTTTCATTGAATTGAGAGCCCTTGATCTTATTGAAAAGTGTTTGTCCATGACCTTTGAGCTCTTTTATAATCTGTAAGTTGACAATAACTGATATTTGGGCCAGGCACGGTGGCTCACGCCTGTAATCCCAGCACTTTGGGAGGCCGAGGTGGGTGGATCACGAGGTCAGGAGATCGAGACCATCCTGGCTAATATGGTGAAACCCCGTCTCTACTAAAAATACAACAAATTAGCCAGGCGTGGTGGCGGGCGCCTGTAGTCCCAGCTACTCAGGAGGCTGAGGCAGGAGAATGGCCTGAACCCGGGAGGCGGAGCTTGCAGTGAGCCGAGATCACGCCACTGCACTCCAGCCTGGGCAACAGAGCAAGACTCCCCCTCAAAAAAAAAAAAAAAAAAAAAAAAAAAAAAAAACTGATATTTGTTTCCATGGACAAGATAGAATCTTGCTGTCCAGTTGGCAGGTTTGACCATGGGTGTCTCCCTGCTTTGGCTCCTAGAATTTTGGGTTTCTCATCGCTCCTGCTGTATTAATCGGACTAGCTCTTAGAAAGGTTCCTGTCTGAGACCGAGCCTTTTTATTTTTCTTTTAAAGCTGTGAGCAGATGGGGTGAGCATTTAATTACCAAACCAGTTTCCGGCCAAAGGGAGAATATTCATTCCCTGGGAGGTAAAGGCCTCTGTGACCCAAGACAATCTCAGCTCTCATGACCCACGCCAACATGACTGAGTCTCTGAATGCTCTTTTTTTTCCCCTCCGAATGTGGAATTTAATTAATTCATCATACCCCTTCCAAAAGGGTAACCAAAATAATACCTGTAACAGCAACCCTTCAAATATAACATCTCAAAAACGCAATTTTCTTACAATATGTCCTCAGTAATGGAAGATTTTTTGAAAAATATTACTGTCCCTAGATCTTAAGGTAAAGAGTTTATAACTCAATTGACTTATATTTGTCACTGATTCATACTATTTCACATTATGACTTAAGGACACAGGTTTATTTTTTAATGCTTTTATTATGGTAAAATATACCACATTAATATAATTAATAATGGTAATGGTAATATAAAATTTACCATTTTAACTACATTTCAGTGTATAGTTGAGTGGCCTGAAGTATGTTCACTTTGACGTGTAAGGTCGACTTTTGAGAAATGGTCGCTCTGTTGTGTTCTCAAGTTCAAATCTATTTTATTTTCCTCCCAAAAAGGGGCATTGTGAATCCAGCCAATACTCATGCTAAGAACAGAGTGAATTCTTGTTATTGGCTTTCTAACAAAACTCAAGGTGAGGAGAATTGGCACCATGTGAAATCCTGCAGGGTGGGGAGGCTGGAGAGTTAAAGCCCCTTCCTGTGCCAGATCAAAGGCAAACGTCCAGGACAACTGAGACTTGGCCTTCGATGGTCAACCCGTGTCGGTGCCGCCTTCATGTGTGAAAGCTCATCACGGACTCTAAAGCATCAAGGCTTTCTCCTAGAGGGAGCCCAGCCTGACAGCCCCGTCTACGGCTTTTATTTGCAGTAAAGTCCCTGGGGACCTTTTTCAAACTGCATATTTGATATTTGCATGAAAAGCAAAGTGGCTGCTCCAGAAGACATGCTTTGCCCTGTGCCTCCAGGACCCTGAGATGCATTTGGTTGTCTTAGAGGAAATAGCACTTGGCCCCATCAACTCACCATGTGGTTTCATCTTTTCCTTCTAATCGGTCCTTCCCTTTTCCCTTTGTAGAAAAAAGAAAGTGCTTCCGTGGAAAACCATGCATTGTTTAGAGCAGTAGTCAGCACCCACTTTCCAGAAAGAACCAGGGAGTAAACACTCCAGGCTTTGGAGATGGCACAGTCTTGTACACAGCTCCCCAACTCTGCATCGTGTGTGAAGGCAGCCAGAGACAATGAATACACAAATGAGCATGGCTGTGTTCCAATAAACCTTTATGTGCAAAACCTGGAGAGGCTGGATGTGGCCTGGTGCCCTTAGTTTGCCAACTTCTGGCTTAGTAAGATCATCCTGATTATCTGATTCTGATGCAACTTTGCCTTTGAGCTGTTTTATAATCTGTAAATTGTAGATAACTGATAATGATGCCAAATTATTATTTTCATTTTTTTGTAGATAAGAAAATAAATTCTTTCCAGTGGAGATTCAATTAACTTCTTTCTCCCCCATCGACAAAGTCAGTTTCATATCTGTTTGTAAATTCATTTCAATATAATGTCATTTCATGTAAGTGTGGCTTTATTTGACTTTTCCTTTGAACTGCTCACTGGATTCTTCATTTAACAACTTCTCTGGTCCTTTATGAATGAGTGAAACAATACACTTATTTTACATCTCTATGGAGGTCAGAATTTTATCATTTTTGGGGAAAATATCCATTAATACATATTCTATACAGTGCCTGCTGAACAATGTCCATTCATACGTATTAACAGCTGATGGGATTTTTACCTTCTCTCAACTTTCTGATGAGTGTCTAAAGCCTCCTTACTCTGGACCCCTCCTTTCTAAAACCAGACCTCCTGGGTCCCCAGCCCACCTACCAAAGAGTCAATGAATGAAGTGGGGTGAAGACTTGCTCTAAAAGCATGTTTCGATCAGGGATAATCATCACTGAGAATAATTAGGCATTGATGTGTCCCAGAATCTAGACTGAGCTTTCACATGCATTTTTTCATTTAATCCTCACTGTGGCACAACAAGCTACATGTTGCAAAAGGGAAAATGGAGGCTCAGAGTTGTCAAGTAAACTGCCTGTGATCACATAGCCTGTGAATGGCAGAATTTGAACCCTGGTCCAAAGCTTTCAAATACAATGTTATCCATCTTTCTTTCTCAGCTCAGCCTCTGTATTCATAAAATAGACATTCATTTTGTGGGTTTGGTGGTGGGGCTAAAAGGTAACATGGACCGCCACTGACACAAGGGTAAGCTGACTGCTGTGCCCGTGCTAGGACTCCCAACATGCAGTTCGTGGCACAAGCAGGTGAACACTCCCTATTCGTATAAGCAATCTGCACAAAGGTGTCTCACAGTTGGTAGGTGCCTGTTCATTCAAGTCCACAGTGGACAGATGGTGCTCCAAGGCTATGCCAGGTCATGTTCTACCACTGATCCTGTCCGCACACATTTAATCTTTTCATCGATACCATTTTATAGATAAGAAGACTGAGACAAATTGAGGAGGAATAATTTCCCCACATTCACAAAATGAAAAAGGACTGGAGCCTGGTTTGCACTAAAACAGGTCAGGCCGGGCATGGTGGCTCACACCTGTTATCCCAGCACTTTGGGAGGCTGAGGTGGGCAGTTTGCCTGAGCTCAGGAGTTCAAGACCAGCCTGGGCAACGTGGCAAAACCCTGCCTCTACTAAAAATACAAAAAAAAAAAAAAAAAAATTTTAGCCAGGCATGGTGATAGGCACCTGTAATCCCAGTTACTTGAGAGGCTGAGGCAGGAGAATCACTTGAACCCTGGAGGCAGAGGTTGCAGTGAGCCAAGATAGCACCACTGCACTCTGGCCTGGGTGACAGAGAGAGACTCAGTCTCCAAAAAAATAAATAAATAAAAAATAAAAATTAAAAAATAATAATAATAAATAAAATAGGTCAACCCTAGAGCCCAACCCTAAAACCTCTTTTCCATGGCATAATAGACTGCCGTTTTCTGCCTTCTGTTTCTTCTCCTTTCCTTCTTCTGTCTCATAAACAAAGCTCCCAGAAAAGGACAATGACAGGAGAAGAGGATAAGGAGTGAGAAAGGGTAGAATGAAAAAAGGCAGCAGCTTTTCTCCGTGCCCTTCTCCTCATCTTCTCATTTTGTGCTTTCCCCAGGCAATAAAACATGGCCATAGAGGAACTTAGAGTCTGTAGGGGTCCTACTGAGGGTGAGCAGCAGCCAACAGTTTCAGCAAGTCCCTGGGGAGATGTGGACCCTATTGGTTTCCATCTGCTCTTTCTTCAGCCAGCCCAGTGCAGGCAGAGAGCCCCGTGGCTCTCTGTTCGTGTTATGCCTTTGGTGGCCAGAGTGGATGCCTGATGATGTAAGAGAGAAAGTAGGAAGAGCGTATGGGGGGCTTGCAATTGTCTTTTCATATGCAATTCCTAAAATGGTAAATAGACCCTCAAGGAGAGCTATGACTTATGATCCCTGGTGTGTAGAACAAGCTGAAATGCTGGTAACAAAGCTAAGCCTGATAAATTCAGTTCCCAGTATTGTATTCACTATTGTGACCAATCAATAACCTCACCAGGTCATCTAAATGCATTGATAAATAATAATAATTGGGCCAGGCACAGTGTCTTATGCCTGTAATCCCCGTGTTTAGGAGGTCAAGGTGGGAGAATCACTTGAGCCCAGGAGTTTGAGACTAGCTTGGGGCAACACAGAGGGACTCTGTCTCTACAAAAAATAAAAAATAAAAAAAATTAAACAGGCATGGTGGCATGTTCCTGTAGTCCCAGCTACTTGAGGGGCTGAGGTGGGAGGATCGCATGAGCCCAGGAGTTTAAGGCCGCAGTGAGCTACGATTGCACCACTGTACTCCAGCCTGGGCAACAGAGCAGGACCTTGTCTCAAAAATAAATAAATAAATAAATAAATATTATTATTATTAAGTGAAAATGATAATAGTAATAACAACTGAAGCTAGCACTCACTGAGTGCTTAATACCACAATATATCATATCATTTCTCATACATTAACTCACTTTTCCCCACAAAATTCCCACATTCAAGGACTGTTCTTATGGTCCAAGTATAGTGGAATAAATAAAAGGTTTGGAGAGTTTAAATTACCTGCCCAAGTTCAAAGAGTAAGCAGGTGGAAGAGCTGGGATTGAAACCCAGACATAGGTTAATACTCAGGAAAAATGTCCACATCACACTTGCATATTGCTAAAATATGTTATGTTCTCAAACGGGATGCCAGTATATACATGGAGCATTCATGGATCACACTGAGATGTTAATACTTGTTTTTTCCCTTTGGCATTCTTGTTTAGTTTTGGTTGCGGAGGTTGATAGCTCACATTAAAAATGGTTATTTAGTAGCTCTGTCAAAGCAGGGCAGTTTCCAATGTCTGATGCTCCTGGCCAGGTGCTGTGAAGGGCGTAGAAGCCCCCATGTCCAAATCATGAGCTCTCAGTTCACTCCAGCTCCCAGCGCTTGGCTCCGTTGATGACTTTCTCCTTCGTGGAGGAACCCTGTTTGCTCGGTTTTCAGGACGATGCTCCCTTTTAATTTTCTTCTCTACTCTAATTACACAACAACTGAAGTAGACCTTCAGGTCTGTGATTTTATCCTCAGCTTTCAATGTTTTAATTTAGGAGTGCTACAGGGATCAGGTTCTGTACATAGTCTCTATTAACTCTAAAGTCATATTATATAATAATACATAATATAATAGGAATTATATATGCATATATTATGTAATAGTATCCATATGTAATACAAGAAAATATAATTCATTTATATTATATATTGCATAATATAAATTATAAAAATATTATATATAATTATATATATCCATATGTATTCATGGATATATATATAATTGGATATATATACTCATATATATCAATGAATGTATATAATTCATATTTTATATATGTATATATTTAATTCATGAATATGCTTATATATGTGTATATAAATATATACATATTTTATGATATATAAAATATGAATTTTGTAGTCCCAGCTACTCGGGAGGCTGAGGCAGGAGAATGGCATGAACCCAGGAGGCAGAGTTGCAGTGAGCCGAGATCACGCCACTGCACTCCAGCCTGGGTGACAGAGCGAGACTCCATCTCAAAAAAAACAAAAAAAAAAAGAATTTAGAGTTCATGTTATATATACATATATACACTTACATGCATATATAATATAAATTTTAAATTCATATTTATATAAGATAAATATATATCATATTATATATAATATGAATATGAGTACGTATACATATTCATATTATATACATATATATGACTACACACACACACACACACACACACACCCACATATATACATTAACAATCAGCCACCAGATATGTCCAGCTTGGGTCTCTCTTCTTAACTCCAGACTCCACAAGATAAATCCCTACTGGGCATCTCTACCGACTTAACTAAGATGTTTTTCAAATAAAACATGCCCCAAATGAGTACCCATCCTTCCATCTGCTCCTCGCAAGGTCCCTCCTCTCACTCATGCTCCCTCATTCATTCATCAAGTCAGTCTAAAACCCTCTGGTTCATCCTTGGCTCCTCTCCATATCGTATAACATGCATCTGGTTCATCAGAACATGCCATTGCTTTGCCTTCAAAATAGACTTAGAAATGCATTGCCCACATCTTCAGCTCATCGCCTTGTCCCAGTCACCCTCCTATCTCTTGCCAGGACTATTGTCCTTGCCTCCTAATTGCTCTCCCCGCCCCTGCCATCACTTTCCCCACCCTGAGGCCCCGCCAGGATGTCCGCACTATGAGAGCTGGGCCTTTGTCCACTTGACTCATGCCTGTGTCCTGGTGCCTACAAGACTGTTGTCAGTTGAGTAGGTATTCAATAAATGTATTCTTTATTGAATGAATGAGTTCATATTTATTGACTATTTATTGAATGCATGAATGAACTCTTTACACAGCATATCACATGATAATTTTTCTCCTAAGGATGATGAAGAATATGGCTATCTTACTTTGACTTTTTCTTTACATCATGCCATTAAGATTCAAGATAGTTTATGTATTTTAGGATCATGAGTCTCTAACATTGTATTAATCTTCCTGGTTCCCAAGTATCAAAATATAAAATTAAATTAGTTTAAATGCTGATGTGGAATAAGTTCTGGGAAAGAGTTGTACCTATTCAAATGATACTGCCTAACGTTAACTCTGTCCAGAACCACCAATGGAGAGACTGAATCCAGAGCTAATTCTAGAGCCAGAGAAAAGAATCGGGATCAAACTGTCTCTTCCTAAGTTTCTCTGCTGCCTCCCAGGCCAGCACAGTATGCTTTATAAAAATACACTTACTTTTGTGGTAACAGTCCAGCTGCTAATAAAATACCATGTAAAGACACAGGTGCCCCCTTTCATTTTTATCTCTGGGCATTTATCAAATGAAGCCACAAGCAAATTACATAGCCTATCAATCAAAGACAAGATAACCTGTAATATACTGATGTCTTACATAATTTCTAGGCATATATTTTATTTATGAAACTTGTTACACTTCTATCCCCCTTCTTTTAAAAATTGTCTTGTTTTCCCCTCCTACTGATATGTGTATATCACTTTGAGGACAAAGATGTCATTGCCTATGGGTGAAACATAAAATGTTTAAGTAGAAGAGAATATGCTTTTCTAAGGTGGTGATTTTTCTTGGCCATACAAATGACTCTCAGCAAGGCCTTGTTAATGACAGGCCCATGGACATGGCATGGAGGTGAGTTTACTGTGCACAACCACAGGCCTTCCGAAGTTAGAAAGAAATGGCCCAGGCTCAAGGTTGCAAGGCTGACTTTTTCAAAAATTCAATACCAGTGAACTGTGATGGATTTCTGGATCCTGCATGACTCAGCTAAGTGTTTGCATTACATCATGCCTGAGCTGTTAAGAGCTGTGCCATTATTTTCAGGCCTAAGATTATGAAACAGGCTATGAATTTATGTTTTTGTTGCTATGGTAATTTATTTTTCTGCTGTTTTAATAACCTCATCAAATGCAAGCAATCAAAAGTAATGTGGCAGCTCTACATAATTCAGCTCCAAACCATTCATAATGACTTGTGGTACATTTGAAACATTGCATAAGGAAATTAAAAGCAAATAGAAATAAGTCATCTCAAGCCTGAAACCTATAAATATTTGAGCTGGGAGCATAAACCCTCCAAGAATGATCTTTGATGATAGGAACAGATATTTCTAATAAATGTTGCAAGACGATTAGAATAGTTTAAAAGAAATAACTTTAAGGTATATTTTTCTTACTTCAAAAGAAAAATAAAAATTCCTGCTTTCCAATTATTCAGACATATAACATAAAATGATTTTTCACAGGTCTTAGTAATATATTTATAATCCTTGATTATTTGAACATGGATATTAGCTCTGGCATAAATATTGGTATTTAAAAGTTATGATTATTACAGATTGAACTTGTGTCCAAATTTTTATAATGGGTAAAACTGGAAAGTGTAATATGCCTTAACGTATAATCAAACCCCGTGTATTCTAACACACACACAGTCATACTAGTCTCACTACAAATGCATATTATTAAGAAACAACATCAGGGTTTGCTTGGTTGCTCTCTTCTGATTTGTCATTATTATGGGGTTTAAAGGCTGTGCTTGCCTCATTCATGAGTAATCCCCACTGTTGTCAGGGAATAGCTGTCAGAGACAGCTGTAACCACAGAAGCCTGCCCCTTCTGGAAGATAATTTGTGGTAGTTATGTGGGTCTGGAATGAATTTCAGAGTCAGGAAACATATTAGTCAGCGTTCTCTAGGGGGACAGAACTAATAGGATAGATATATATAAAAAGGGAAGTTTATTGAGGAGTATTGACTCACACGATCACAAGGTGAAGTCCCACAATAGGCTGTCTCCAAGCTGAGGAGCCAGGAAGCCAGTCCGAGTCCCCAAAACCTCAACAGCAGGGAAGCTGACTGTGCAGCCTTCAGTCTGTGGTCAAAGGTCCAAGAATCCCAAAGCTGAAGAACTTGGAGTCCCACGTTCAAGGACAGGAAGCATCCAGCATGGGAGAAAGATGGAGGCCAGAGGACTCAGCAAGTCTAGTCTATCCACATTCTTCTGTCTGCTTTATTCTAGCCACACTGGCAGCTGATTAGACGGTGCCCACCCACATTGAGGGTGGGTCTGCCTTTCCCGGTCCACTGACTCAGATGTTAATCTCCTTTGGCAACACCCCTCACAGACACACCCAGGAACAATACTTTACATCCTTCAATCCAATCAAGTTGACACTCAGCATTAACCATCACAGGAAAGAATCCACTCCTTTCTGGAAATCATTCTGGAAATGTGGCATTTCTCTAATCTAGACGTTGGGCCATGGAAACTGCAGTAGGGGCTAAGATCTGGATGTGTTTTCAGTAGTATGGGGAATATGTCCACCTTCTGCCTCCTCTCCTGTACCATGAATGAGTCTTCCTGTAGCTTGATGAGGCGGCTGGGGGGTCTCTTCATAGTGGACCATCAGGGGAACATGAGTAGACAGCCCAGTGACCGTGGCCCCAGAATGATGGACTACAGAGTGGGCAGACCACAGCAGGGGAAAGTGATGGGAATGGGAATGGGGTTTTGAGAAATGGACTCATTCTTTTACCTTCTAACTACTGAGCACCTTCTGGGGACCAGCCAGTGGGCCAGGCTTGCAAACTCTAGTGGGCACGGTTAGGTGCCTGCCCCGCATCGGAATCCCTTTTCTTCCTAATACAGCTCTGATTTTATTCAGGTGTACTCCTTAGAGGCTTTAGGAAAAACTGACTTTATCCTCAGGTCAAGGAATAGTGCTTTAACTGTATATGACTTCTCATTCCCAAGGCAAATGCTATTGGGGCAAGTATGAACCCATGACCTAGGTTGACACCAGTTCACCTAGGTGCTTCTCAAGAACACACCAGTTATTAAGAAACACCATCAGTGTTTGCTTGGTTGCCTTCTTAGCCCTTGTTTTCATCCTGCTTGGGTCACCCTAGGTCATGGGTTCATTCTTGCACCAAGAGCATTTGCCTTGGCAATGACAATTCATATACAATTAAAGCCCTATTCCTTGAGCTGAGGATGGAGTCAGTTGCCTTCATCCTGCTTGGGTCAACCTACAGTGTATAACTGCAGTGAGGTTGTAGGTGCATCTCTCTCTCTCTCTCTCTCTCTCTCTCTGTGTGTGTGTGTGTGTGTGTGTGTGTGTGTGAGAGAGAGAGAGAGAGAGAGAGAGAGAGAATAAGAAAAGCCATAGCTCTGTTTGTTTTAGAAATCATCTTTCAAGGAAGGAGTAGGGGAACTAGAATTTGATTGGAAACTTTGCTACAGGCAGGAGAGCAGATGGAAAAAACCTGGATCCGTAATGACATTGATTAGCTCCTCAATCAACCAACTTTGTAGTCTTCCCTAGATCTTAACAGCTCTTCATGTGTGGAAAAAAAGAGAATTCTCCCATTATTTAAATGACCCTGAGTCAGAGTTTCCAACTGCCTGCTGCTGAAAGCATGGTAATTGCTCCAGCTAGGATCTTTCAGTTGACAGAACTAGCCCACATCATCATCCTGAAGTGAAGCAGCAGGGAAGTCATCTTAGGAATGACGTGATTCTGGCAGCTTCGTTTGCCCCAGTCAAGAGGGAAAGAAGCAGAGTCTTCAAGCAGCTGCTGAACGGGCCCCTCCCTCCGCCCCTCCCATCCCTTCACTTGCCACTTTCCACGTTTTCCTGAAATGTGATGCCTCAGACCGTGCTCTGTACATAGGGGATCCGGGATTCCCTGCACCATAAAGCAGCTGCTCCTTGAATCAACTTCAGGTTACATTTGGATGTTAAAGCCCATCTTTCAAAACATCTTTCAAAACATAATGGAAGGGGACTTCTGTTTCAGTTCCAACATGTAAAGAGCTTGGAAATCATGACTCCTATCCTTACAACAAAGCAAAGCTAGGAAAACTGAAAATCAGTCACTATTCTTAGACCCATCTGAGAGCTGAGATTTCCAAGCAAACTGCAATTCCAAAATCTGGAGACACAGGTAAATCGAGAGAGCCACAGCCAAGATCTTCCCACCTGGAGCAGAAGCCCCTGAAACCATAAACTGGTAGGTTCAGTTCAGAGGGTTTTTTGTTTTTGGTTTTGGTTTTTCTGAGCCCGGGCCTCACTCTGTCACCCAGGCTGGAGTGCAGTGATGTGGTCCTAGCTCACTGCAGCCTCCATCTCCCAGGTTTAGGCAATTCTCCCTCCTCAGCCTCCTGAGTAGCTGGGACTGCAGGTGCATGCCACCATGCCTGGCTAATTTTTGAATTTTTTTTGGTAGAGACTGGATTTCACCACATTGGCCAGGCTGGTTTCGAACTCCTAACCTTAAGTGATTCACCCTCCTCGGCCTCCCAAAGTGCTGAGATTACAGGCGTGAGACACTACACCCAGCCAGTTTAGTGGGGATTTTGATGAACTGGGGGGAATCTGGATGTTGACTAGGAGGAGAGTGAGAAACTCCTGGGGGTCACGGTTTTAGGAGACCCCACACTTTCATGGGCTTTATCTCCAAAGAACCCCACTAGATTGCCATTGTGAGCATTCAAAAAAGACCTGCTTATGGCCGCAGCAGGACAAGAGGAAGAGTAATCATTGTGAAATAAGCCTAGAGCTATCTCCACAACAAAGGGCTATTCTCCAGATAAAAAGATTATGAGAGCTTTATCCCACCTGGGGAAAGATGTTTCTCCCACCACAGCACATCTCTTCCTGATTCACCTAGGAGGAGAAAAATGCATAGTCATCAAAGGGACAGGTCTTCATAGAAATAGATTGGAAACTCTGCAGGTCATGAAAGGGAGCAGAGGGCAGGGTGAAATCAATAGCCACAGGCTTGAAGAACTACTCATCAATGTTACAGCCTGGGGACACGGGACCACTAAAAGATGGAAATTTAATTGGAAGATGATAGAAGGATTCCCCTGCACAGCCTATCAGCACGCTTACAGGGCTCCAGTACAACAGCAATGCATTGCAGCTGAAAGAGCTGCAAGCCACAAACCTTTTATGAGATGGAATGTTTAGGAAGACCTAGGGTGAAGAGGAGACAGAAGTAAGAACAGTGAAGAATGTACAGCCTCTGGTACACAGAGTTACGACAAACATTTAACATGGTCCAACACCTAACCAGACTGACATAAATTGTCATCACAATAAAGCCTTCTTTTCCTCAGTTCCTAGTATTCAATGCAACAAAAATTTACAAGGTATGACAAAAGGTAACGGAAACATAGTCTGAAGAGAAAAAAAACTCATCGGAACAAGACTCGAATATGTAACACATGTTGGAGTAATCAGACAGATAGTATCAAATAACTATGATGAATGCATTAAGGACTCTAAGAGAAAATGTGGACAACAAACAGAAATAGATGCGTCGTATAAGCAGAAAGAAGGAAATAAATAAGCAGAAGAAAATGCTAGAAATCAAAAACACTATAGCAGAAATGAACAATTTCTGGACTGGTCTTGCCAGCAGAGTTCATATGACCAAGGAAAAAATCATTGAGCTTGAAAATAAGTCAAGAAATATCAAAAATTAATGTGGAAAAAGAACAATATTAAAACAAAAACAACAAAGAACCCCAGTACATTCAGGAATTGTGCAACTATTTCAAAAATTGTAACATCTGTATAATTGGGATACCAGGAGGGTGTGAAAGGAATAGTGGAGCAAAAGAAATATTTGAAGTAAAAATGGCTTAGAACGTTCCAAATTTTATGACAGGCACCAAATCAGACATCCAGGAACCTCAGAAAAACACCAAGTAGAATAATATATACATACATACATACATGTATATACATACATACATGTATACACATGCATGCATACATACGTAAAATAGACAAACTGTATTTGAATTGCAGAAAACTAAAAATTAAATAAATATCTTTGAAAGAAGCCCAAGTGGGAGGTTGGGTATCTTACCTTACCTATGGAAATACAAGAAAAATAGTTAAAGTAGACTTCTCATCAGACGCCATGCAAGAAAGAAGAGGTTGGTATGAAAGTAAAAAATCATCAATGCAGACTTCTATGTCCAGTGAAAGAATTTTTCAACAGTGAAAGAGAAATAAAGACATTATCAGACAAACAAAAACTTGAGGAAATTCATCGTTGGCACATCTTCCCTGCAAGAAATGTGAAAACACTTGGCTCAGTCAGAAGGAAAATGGTATAAGGCAGACACTGGGAACTACATAGAAAAATAAAGCATATTAGAGGAGGCATACGGGAAGGGAAAATAAAATATTATTTTTCATATTATTAATTGATTGAAAATATAACAGTTTAAACTAATAGTAGTAACACTGTAATGGTCGATTACAGGATGTAAACAGCGAAAATGAGTAACATCAGCTTGCTGAAGGGTAGGACGGAGGAATTGGGAATAGTCTGTTATAAGGTACTTGCATAATATAGGAAGTGGTAGAATGTAATTTGAAAGTGAATTTAGATTAGTTAAGATGTATATTGTAAACTCCAGGGGAACCATTACAAATTTTTTTTAAGTATAACTCAGAGGAGATAAAATGGAATCAAATACAATGCAAAGTTAAAACAAGAAAAGGCAAAAAACAGGAGAGGAAACAAGGAACAAATCCCATGTATAGAAAATGGTTAAAATGATGGTTTATATTTATCCAGTGGTGTCGAAACTCACTTTAAATGTGAATGATCTCAACGTATTTATTAAATGACAAAATTCATGAGAGTGGATAAAGTAAAAACAAGACCCAGCTATATCTTGATTACAAGTAACCCACTTTAAACAGGAAGACTCAGGTTAAAAGTAAAGAAATGAGAAAGATACAACATGCTAACATGAATCAAAAGAAAACTGTTCTAGCTATATTAGTTTCAGATGAAGCAGGCTTCACAACAAGGATGATTATCAGTGATAAAGAAGCATGTTACGTAGTGATTGTGTCCATTCTTCAAGAAGACGTGATAATCCTAAATGTGTATGTACCTAACAAAAGGAGGTTATTCTTTAAATATCAGTTTTCTGTGGTTACCTTCAAAGCTATGAATCATTTTTCTATCGCTTTCCTCTCTTTGCTGGTAGGAAACTAGCCAGTTATTTGTATTTAGCCACAATGAGCACACCTAGCACCAAGATCTTGACTTTCTTAACACTGCTCTTCAATTAAAAAAAGCCAAGGGTCCTTGGAGAAATGGCAAACTCTAGGACTGGTGAAGGAAACACAGAAGATGAGCCTCACCATAAGATTAATGCTTGAGGTCTCTTGAAATTCACACACTGAGTCCTTCACCCCCAAGGTGATGGTATTAGGATGTAGGGCCTTTGGGAGGTGACTAGATCATGAGGGTGGTGCCCTCTTGAATAAGATTAGCAACCTTATAAAGGAGGCTGCAGACAGCTTTCTCTCCCCTTCCTCCATGTGAGGGCACAGCAAGAAAGAGGCCATCTGTGAATGGGGAAGCGAGCCCACACCATGCACCACATCTACCAGTGCCTTGGTCTCGGACTTTCAGCTTCCAGGAACTATGAGAAATAAGTATTTATCAGCCATGCATAAGCCATGTAGTTTATAATATTTGGTTATAGCAGCCTGAACAGAGTAAGACAAGCCTTGAGCATTTTGTAGTTCCAGAAGCTGAGGAAGTGCTCACACACATGAACACACACACACACACACACACACACACACAATGGCAGCATGTGGGAAGAACACAAGGGCCAACCGAACGTGTTCTCAATGTGCAAGATTGGGAACATTTGAAAAAAAATAAATATATATTGGAGTATTAGCTACATTACAAAGTAATGCCCATGAGTTTATACTGATATAAATACATGATTGGATTAACCAATAAATGGGAAAAATAATTCTCCTTAGATCCCATTACTGGGTATATACCCAAAAGATTATACATCATTCTACTATAGAGACATGCACACGTATGTTTATTGCAGCACTATTTACAATAGCAAAGACTTGGAACCAACCCAAATGCCCATCAATGATAGACTGGATAAAGAAAATGTGGCACACATACACCATGGAATACTATGCAGCCATAAAAAAGAATGAGTGCATGTCCTTTGCAGGGACATAGATGAAGCTAGAAGCCATCATTCTCAGCAAATTAACCCAGGAACAGAAAACATAACACCGCATGTTCTCACTCGTAAGTGGGAGTTGAACAATGAGGACACAGGGAGGAGAACATCACATACTGGGGCCTGTTGGAGGGTGGGGAGCAAGGGGAGGGAGAGCATTAGGACAAATACCTAATGCATGCTGGGCTTAAAACCTAGATGCCAGCTTGATAGGTGCAGCAAACCACCATAGTACCTGTATACCTGTGTAACAAACCTACACGTTCTGCACATATATCCCAGAACTAAAATAAAATAAAATAAAAAAGAACAGGAGAGAAATGAGTCATGCAGACACTGCATCCTCAAGGTGAAGCATAACTCTTTACTCCATGTGTGTGGTTTGCTGACAATGACTTGTTTTCCCATTGTAAAGTAGGGAAATTGAGAACAAAGGGTAACTTTACAGTGGAGAACTAAAGACTCTTTCAACCAGGTGGTCAAATCATCATCGACAGTCATCAGTCATAAGTCACACGGACCGCGTGAGAGTGTGCACCTTTGACATGATGCGATGAGAATGGCACTCTACTTCGGGGATCTTCTTTCTCTGAAACCCATAACCATAAAAAGCCTCAGGGCTTTTCCCCGATTCAGGGACATTCTATAGTACCTGACCAGCATGCCTCAAAACTGGTCATCAAACTCAAGAAAAGCCTGAGAAACTGTCACACCAAAGAAGAGCCTAAGGAGACGGGGCCATTAGATGAAATGTGGCATTCTGGATGGAATCCTGGCAGGAAAAATGTCATTAGGTTTAAAAGAGGAGAAAAAAATGAATGGCCTGCCCATAGTTAATGATACTGTATTGGTATTTGTTCATTATTTTGGATAAACGTATCACTTTAATTTAAAATGCTAATAAAGGGTCAAATTGAGTGTGGGGTTTGTACTATCTTCTCCATTTGTGGTAAGGCTAAAATTGTTATAAAATTAAATGTTTATTTAAAGTAATATAATCATTTCCAGTCACTGGTTTTAGTCTCCTTTCTCCTTTTTACCTTGTAAGCTACACCAAATGCAGTATTCCCATGGTTGTGCAGGTCTCATACATCAATGCAGTAAATAGTCCCAAGTAGTCACCATGTCCTAGGTGTTGTCATAGCCACCAGGGTCTAGAAGTCCATCACAAGAGGCACTGCTGTGGGGAGTGCCACCTTCCCCTCCCCTGCCCAGACAGTTAGGAGCTCATTAGGGCAGAGTGGGCTTTGGAGATACTAACCACTACTTACCATTTATATTTACATATAAAACATAGATATTGGGACTTTTCAGGAAGATGAACTATTTCCTCTTCCTTCTGCTAAGTGCAAATAAATCCCAGCACTTTGGGAGGCCAAGGCAGGAGGAGCATTTGAGCCCAGGAGTTTGACACCAACCTGAGCAACATGGCAAAACCCTATCTCTACCAAAAATACAAAAATGAGCAGGGCGATGTGGCATGTGCCTGGCATCCCAGCTACTTAGGAGGCTGAAGCAGGAGGATCGCTTGAACCTGAGAAGCAGAGGTTGCAGTCAGCTGAGATTGCACCACTGGACTCCAGCCTGGGCAACAGAGCGAGACCCTTAAAAAAAAAAAAAGAAAACTGAACATGACATAAAACACAAGCACCAGGAGGGTCTGAAAGGTGGAGAGAAACAGTAGAGGGGTTATGAAACTGCGAGCCCAGGGAATGCTGTGGGAGTGAGTTGTCTGTGTTGTATTTTTGCCTCCTCTATTCCAGAAGCTGAAAAGCTATAAATGTCAAAGGGCACATAAAAAAACAGAGCCCCGGCCAGGTGCGGTAGCTCACGCCTGTAATCCCAGCACTTTGGAAGGCTGAGGTGGGCGGATCACGAGGTCAGGAGATCGAGACCATCCTGGCTAACACGGTGAAACCCCATCTCTACTAAAAATACCAAAAATTAGCCGGGCGTGGTGGCGGGCACCTGTAGTCCTAGCTACTCGGGAGGCCGAGGCAGAAGAATGGCATGAACCCGGGAGGCGGAGCTTGCAGTGAGCCAAGATAGCACCACTGCACTCCAGCCTGGGCAACAGAGCGAGACTCCGTCTCAAAAAAATAAAAAAAAAGAAAAAAAAAAAAAAAGAAAAAACAGAGCCCCAACAAAAGCTCACTCTCTGTAACCAAAAGACTAGAAAAGGGGCAGTTGGCAAGGCAAAAACAAAACAATGGGACAATAGTCACTCTACACCAGCCAAACACTACAAAAAAAAACTGCGGCCACACTCACCCATGCCTCAAAAACCCAACGGGCACCCTGATTTCCAACCTCAGAAGGTATAAAGAGGTATTCCAATGCCCTAACCACCTCATAACCTGGGGTGGTGTCCAAGAATGCTTAGGAGGAAGCTGCCAGTGGAGATTATCTGGGGAGCATGGACTAAGTTATAGAAAGGGAGAACAGGAGAGTTCTCCCGGATTCAGAATAGAATCCCCAGGGATTAAGAAGAGAGTCAGCATAGCTATAAAAGGGTGACAGAGAGATTCTTGTGGGGATGGAAATATTTATCATGACTGCATTAATACCAATCCCACGGTTGTGACATCAATGCTGTAACTTTGCAAGTCATTACCACTGGGGAAAATTGCGTAAGGCACACATGAGATCCTTCTTATTATTTCCAACGAGTGTATGTGAACCTATAATTATATCAAATAAAGTTTAATTAAAATTATGTTAGTTACTTTGTAAACACTTTATGGTTACTAACACAATACCTGGGCCATGCATTTTATATTTTTATACTACAGGATTTTCCTGGGGCTCCAGAGTGACCTGGGAGCAGCTCAGCCGGAGCTGGCCCTGGAGCTAAGAGTCAAAGAAACAAAGCAGCATCGATCACCATGAATTAATTACCAAGGGCTGGGGAGATCACGTTTATCTCAGAAGGCGCAACAGAAACAGGTGCAACCAGAGGACCAGAGGCCCTTCTTCCTGGACCTTGGAATTGATATGGCCTCGAAAAATGGCAGAGAAATCGCTGAACTGCCTGAGACGAGATGACCTAGAATCAGATGAAACCAAGTTCCTACCACTCAGCACAATGGGGATTTGAAGTAGAAATACATTCACTTAGGAAAGTAGAAACGTGCATTTCTGGCACCTGATTGTGTGGCCTGAGATTCCTGTCTGCTACAGTGACATCGCTGGTGACATTATTAGTGCCCCACTTTGTCAGCAGCATGCAGTAGCTGGCCTAAGATGTCCAGGTCACTAACAGTATTCTGATGGGTTCAGCCAGCACAAAGGTCAAACACCTCATACACAGCCCTGCCTGGGGAGCAGTATCTGGTTCCTCCACCCTCCTATCATCGCGGTTAAGAACAGTTGATTCATAGTCCAGGACCCTGGTAGGAAACAGACGACATACATGAGTTGGGAAAATCAGGGGAAAAATTAACAAATAAGACTATGTGCAAAGGAACGTGCAGGTCAACACCAAGGACTGGTTCTAGTAGGGCACTGTGCCCTTTTCTCAGCCTGCAGAGACAGGGGTTTGCAGAGGACATGGGAGCACAGAGACAGGGAGGGCTGTGCTTAGAAGGCCACCAGAAAGGAACTGGGGCTGCCAGTGAAGGATGCAGCCAGCCTGCAGCAAGAGCATGGTGCAGGGAGCATGCCAGGGAAATCAATGCATTGACTTCATTCTTCTCCCTTTCTCTGATCTCCTGCTGGTGTGTGCCATTGTCAGATAGCCACATAAATTCCAGGGAAAGAAAGCCCTCTGATGTGCAGAACACAGAGCAGCAAGCGAAGGTGGATGGTACTGCCTACTACAATTCATTCTCTCTTTTCTTCTTTAGGATAAAAAACTCGATCCTACGATTTCACTGTGTCCAACATCCTGTGCCCTGTTGTCAAGTATTGAATAACAGGAACTCAGCTATGTAGAAGTTCCGGAAAGGAGCAGATGCAGGTGAGAGGGTGTAATTCATTTGGTTTTCCTGCCTCCTACTCTTTCTTGCTGCTTAGAACATGGATGTGATAACTGGGGCACTAGCAGCTGTCTTGGGTCATGAAGTCACCTTGACTTTGAGTTATGTCAGCTGAACAGAAAAATAGAAGCAGTTTGGGTCCTTTGCATCGTTAAAGACACCCCACCAGCCTCAGACTGGCTGACTTCAAATTGCTTTATAGAGAGAGGTGATTTTTAACTTATTCAAGGCACTGACTCTAACCCTAACGAATGGGGCTTCACATATAAATTGCCTGTAAAGCTCTGGGCACACAACACCTCCCAGACTCTCCTCACACTCCCCGCCTTCACTCACCACGCTCTGTGTCTCAGCCACTCCTGCCGATCCTTATGCCGGCAAATGCTGCACCATCTCTGTTCTCTACCATCCTTTTTGTCCAAGATTTTATTTTATTTTCCTTCTTCTAGTTCAGTGAAACACTTTTCTAATGTGGCAGCTATTAGGCAAAAGAACTCTCGTTAGCTTTGAAACTCCCTTGGTTTACCGTTTGGGGTGGAAAAAGCCCAACCCCCAAGATATGCAGTAAAAAGAGGCCAGAAAAACAGGGGAGTCTCAACTGTGTCTCATGCCAAGGGGATAAAAATTTGCAAATTGAGAATCACAGTTAGAAATGCATAAAAATAAAATGGAGCTAAAAAGAAAGAGAACTAAGCAACGGGTGACAATGAAGGCTGATGGAAAATCTCCAGCGGGGTCACGGCGGGATTGCCTTCTTTTTTAAGGCTGAATAACATTCCACGTATATGTGGAATTTTATATATATGTGTGTGTGTGTGTGTCATTTGAGTCATTCGAGGCATTCAAGGCTTCCCACCCATCTCAGATGCCTGACTTTAAATTGCTTTATGAGGCTGGGCGTGGTGGCTCACGCCTGTAATTCCAGCACTTTGGGAGGCTGAGGTGGGCGGATCACTTGAGGTCAGGAGTTCGAGACCAGCCTGGCCAACAACGCTAAACCCCATCTCTACTAAAAATACAAAAATTAGCTGGGTATGGTTGCATACGCCTGTAGTCCCAACTACTCGGGAGGCTGACGCACGAGAATCACTTGAACCCCAGAGGCGGAGGTTGCAGAGAGCTGAGATGGCACCACTGCACTGCAGCCTGGGTGACAAAGCGAGACTCTGTCTCAAAAAAATAAAAATAATTTTTTTTAAAAAAAATTGCTTTATTAACAGAGAGAGAGAACTTTTATCTTATTCAAGCCGCTGACTCTAATTTTAACTAATAGACCTTCACATATAAATTGCCATGTAACATATTATGTGTGTGTATATATATATGTATAAACACACTACACACACACACACACACACACACACATATATATATATATAATTTTATCTATTGGTCCATCTGTCCACTGACATTTAGATTGAATCTGTACCTTGGTTATTGAGAATAAAGCTGCAATGGACATGAGAGATGCTGATTTTATTTTTAGGGGGATAAGTATTCAGTAGTGGGATTGCTGAATTCTATGGTAGTTAGAGAGTAAAATGGTGGTTTCCAGGAGCAGGTGGAGAGTGAGAAATGGAAAAATATTTGTCAAAGAATACAATGTCTCAGTTCTGGACACCTAACATACAGCAAGGTGACTGTAGTTGATAATAACGTACTGTAGACTTGAAATTTGCAAGAATATATCTTAAGTCTTAGTAGCACACACACATAAAAATGGTAACTTTGCCAGGTGATGTGAATGAGCTTGATGGTGGTGATGGTTTCATGATATATCCATCTACCAAAATACGCATTGCACACCTTATATGCATACAATTTTGTCAATTATGCCTCAATAAAACTTTAAGAAACTATTAAAAATAAAGACATGATATTAAAGTCGAGGCGAGAAAGAAGAGCAGGAGTCGTGTGGGGAAGATATGGTCGTGTTCCTGGAAGGTGACTGGAGAAGAGCAAGGTGAACATTCTAGGGGAGATTTTTCCTGCTGTGAATAGAGCCATGTGCTAAAGGTGCCTTTTGATTTGTTTTTGTTTGTTTCATCCTGTTTTTAAAAAAAGATTAAATTCACATACAAATAATTTATGTCCTAGGCTCAGGAAATTAACAAGCAAAATTCTCACAGGGAAGGTTAATCCCACATTCACTCAGTGATGTGGGTGGTGGCTGAGACAGGACTTGGTGCCACGTGGGAGAGTCTCTGAAAGTCGTTAACAGACTTGGGTTCTGACTCTGTTATTTCTGGAACTCATCAAAGCACAGTAAAGCCAGAAAACTGAAGTGAAATTACCTTTTCTTTCCTCTGAAGATAATGTAATTGACATAAACCATCTGAACCCAGAAGCCAGCAAAGTGTTCTCTTTTTTAATAACTTCTCAGAAAGGCCCAGCAGCCAGGGCCTCTGCATGGCAATTATCCCAGGAACTGTGGGCTCCTGGACACGCTGTGCTCTCCTGGAGAGCATGTGGGTGTAGCCCAGGGAGGTGAGGGCAGAGTGGGCAGCCAGGAGGGGCCGCTGCCAGGCTTTTTCTGTCTTATTTCCATTTTGGTAAATGATCTCACTTTTCTTCTTGAACAACCAATCTGTAACTGGAAGATGAACACGGGGAAAAACTGCATGTAGTGGCTTTAAGCACTGTAGACTAGAAAGACTTGCAAGGCCAGAGACTCAGGCACTTGGCATGGATTTTACATCCCCTGGGGAAGTGGCCTTGCTAAGGTCTGCGAGGCTGAAGCTTGTTAAGGCTTGCGAAGGTCTGTGACCATCATTACTGCTGGTTTGATCCCTTTGGATAACTGTATCCCTTCCAAGAGTTTTTGCAGAACACTCCGTAGATAAGATACCATTTAGACTCTTCCCTGAGCTCTGGGAACACATCAGAGAATCCTATGATTAAACATATGTAACCAGGGCCATTTTAACTGAGAGAGAGAAGGAGAGAGAAAGCATACTAGAACAGGACTTTGAACCTCCATGCCCATTGGGCTGAGTTGATGTGGAGGGAGGAAAGAGATCATTCCTGCTGTCTTGGTTGGTTTGACTGCCACACCCCACATCACGGCCTGTGATTCTTGTGCATAGTTAACCAACTGCTTTATATTCAGGGGCTTCGATGTAATCCACCTGCTACTGAAACAGACCCAATAGTCCCACAGAACTGATGTTTATGGTTTCCTTTGAATAAACATAGAAGTGGACCCTCCTAGTCTTGAAAGTTGAGAAAGTTACATTTTTCCTATCTGAGTTCCTTGCTGAGGAAACCAACCATCAGGCCTCCCAGAGAGTATCAAGGAACTGAAACTCACCACGTCTCAGCATCTGCATAATGAGACACCAGAGCCCTCGCCCACCGCGACTGCCTAACCCACCACCTGCTTCCTGTGGATCAATTCCTTTTCCTTCCCCTTCCATCAGTCCTGTTTACCTGCATGTAGCTACATTTCTGCTATGTAAACCCCTAATAGGATTCAGTCAGGGAGATGGATTTCAGACTGATCTCCCATCTCCTTGGCTACAGCACCTGATTAAAGCCTTCCTCTATACTCTGGTTTCTCTTCAAATTGTATACATCTTCTGATTAAAGCCTTCTTCCTTGGCAATAACTGTCGTCTCAGTGATTGGCTTTCTGTGATGTGAGCAGCAGGACCCAGACCAAACCCCTGGTGTTTTGGTAACACTGCTTCTGCCCTGTCCCCCACTGGGTGGGGACCCCATAAAGTGTTTCATCTTTAGGAAAACAAACACAAAAACTTGACTTTTCTAGGAGTACCTGATTAGATCCAATGTTTGGCTTCTGTTCTAACTTCAGAATGCAACTCCCCTCTGGAGAGACAATTTCTGTCTCGATTCTGCCAGGCAGCTCCATGATGCCCTCAGTGATCACTACAAGTAAAGCTCGGGGTCCCCAGCACTTCTCTTCCTCCTCACCCTCCTACCTGCTTCATCCCCTGTCTCCTGTATCAGTGACCCGGGATGGATGAGGGGTGATCCACCTCAACCCCTCAGGCACCTTTAGCACGTGGCTCTATTCACGGCAGGAATAACCTCCCCTAGAATGTTCACCTTGCTCTTCTCCAATCACCTTCTAGGAAAATGACCATTTCTTCCCCACATGGCCCCTTCCCTTCTTTCTTGCCTCAACTTTAATATCTTGTCTTTATTTTTTAATAGATTTTTTAAGCTTTATTGAGGTATAATTGACAAATCAAAACTGTTAAGTATTTAAGGAATGGAATGCGGTCTTTTGATAGATGGATACACTGTGAAACCATCACCACCATCAAGCTCATTCACATCACTTGGCAAAGTAGCCATTTCTATGTGTGTATAGTACTCACATTTAGGGTCTGCTCTCCTGGCAAATTTCACGTGTACTATATGTTATTGTCAACTACAGTCACCTTGCTGTATATTAGGTGTCCAGAACTGAGACACTGTAGTCTTTGACAAACGTTTTTCCACGTCTCACTCTCCACCTGCACCTGGAAACCACCATCCCACTCTCTCACTACCACAGAATCCAGCAATACACTACTGACTACTTATGCCCTTAAAAAATAAAATCAGCCTCTCTCATGTCCATTGCAGCTTTATTCTCAATAACCAACATACAGATTCAATCTAAATGTCCACGAACAAGATGGACCAATAGAGAATATATATATATACATGTGTGTGTACACGTGCACGCAAATACATATACACACACACTATGTTATATGGCAATTTATGTGAAGGTCTATCAGTTAAAACCACGTGCTAAATGTGCTCCCCTCGCTCCATCACACTAGAAGTCAGACGGGAACTTAGAAGCCCCCCCGTCCTCACTGCTCTGCCCCAGCCTCCATTCTACATGCTAACTTTCTCAGTCCTTTCATGAGATCCACGCGTTTCCCACTCTCCCCAATTGTTTCCCTACCAGCTCTGAAATGGGAAACCTCTTTCTGCTCCAGTGGCTTCTGTCCTGGGCTGGTCTTTGCTTTCTTTACCTGAGGACTGGGATAGGCTCCTGCTATCCTCTGAACGTTTGTGTCTCCTCACGTTTCATCTGTTGAAATCCTAACCCCCAAGGAGATGGTATTAGGATGGAGGCCTTGGGGAGGTGATTAGGTCACGAGGGTGGAACTCTCATGAACGAGATGAGTGCCCTTAAAAGGGTCCAAAGCGATCTGAGTTTTCCCCTTCCTGCCAAGTGAGGAAACAGCACGGAGACAACCGGTGAATGAGGAAGCGAAGAGCCCTCACCGTGCACCGAGTCAGCTGGTGCCACCATCTTGGACTTCCAGCCTCCACAACTGTGAGAATGGATTTCTGCTGTGTATCAGCAGTCCGGTCTGTGGCCTTCTGTTACAGCCACACTCATGGACCAACATGTCTCCTGCGCAATCCCTGCTTTCATTCTTTCAGCCTCTCCGAACTGCCCCAGGCACTGCTCCTGAACGCACCCATCTGCTCCCTACTCAAAACCTTCCAAGACTCCAGTCCTCTGCTGCCTGCAGAGGGAAAAGCAGAGCACCCAGCCCGCTCTCCTAAGTCCTCCATGCTTGGTTCTTCCCTGACTTTCCAGTCTTTTCTCTCCTCCCCTCTTGCAGCTCCCCAAAGTCCCCACTGTGTCCGGAATTGGTTCCTGCTGGGTTCTTGCTCCGGCTGACTTCAGGAAGGAAGCCGGGACCCTCGCGGTGAGTGTTACAGTTCTTAAAGATGGTGTGTCCGGGATTTGTTCCTTCAGATGTGTCTGGAGTTTCTTCCCTCTGGTGAGTTCGTGGTCTCGCTGCTGACTTCAGGAGTGAAGCTGCAGACCTTCGCAGTGAACGTTACAGCTCTTAAAGGTGGTCCGAAGTTGTTCATTCCTCCCGGTGGGTTAGCGGTCTCACTGACTTCAAGAGTAAAACCGGAGACCTTAGAAGTGAGTGTTACAGCTCTTAAACGTGGCGCGTCGGGAGTTGTTTGTTCTTCCAAGGGGTCTGGTGGTCTCGCTGGCTTCAGGAGTGAAACTGCAGACCTTCAGAGTGAGTGCTCATAATAGTGTGGACCCAAAGAGCGACCAACAGCAAGATTTATTGAAAACAGCAAAACAACAAAGCTCCCAAAGGGTGGAAAATGACCCAAATGGGTTGGCGTTGCTGGCTAGGGTTGGCCTGCTTTTATTCCCTTATTTGGCCCCACCCACATCCTGCTGATTGGCCCATTTTACAGACAGCTGATTGGTCCGTTTTACAGAGTGCTGATTGGTCTGTTTTTACAGAGTGCTGATTGGTGCATTTATAAACCTTTAGCTAGACACAGGGCGCTGATTGGTGCATTTACAATCCTTTAGCTGGACAGAAAAGTTCTCCAAGTTCCCACGGGAGGCAGAAGCCCAGCTGGCTTCACTTCTCACCAGCAGGTCTCCATCTCTGAGCCATTCCTTCTGTGCACTTGACCTCCATGAACTATCTCCCACACATTGCCCAGGTCCACCAGCCACACCTCCATGCTGAACAAAGGCCTGTTTGTTGGATGAATAAATGAATGTGTAGCTAGAGCAACATTTGCCTCTCAGTCACTGAGGCTGGCGGTTCTGGCATGGGCTGATAGTTTTGTCTGTTGTATTGGTTTCTTGTGTTCACTTTTGTTTTGGTCCATAAGGTGATTTTAAAAATTGAATGTGTTGCTGGCAATTGTGAGCTTTCATCAGGCATCATGCAACTTGTTGGTTGGAGCTGAGTCTAAGTTCCTTCTAAGTTCTTTCTTAACTCTGCTGCTTTTGGGTAGCCGTGTGCTCGGTTCTATGTCCCTTGCACCACTTGGTTCATGGTAGTGCTCAGTCACTTGTGGGATCCAAGCTTTCTTTGTTTGTGCTAGACACTCCCTGAAACAACCAAGACATCCTGTGTGAGCCAATCAAACACGCCTGCAGTGCAATCTGACCTTAGGGCATTCATTTTGCAACCTGAGCAGGGCTCTCCTGAAGAGATGGCTGCAAGGAAAGGAAGCTTTGATGAGTCTTTTCCTTCTTTAAAGTCTTTCTTTCGAAGCCAATGTCTCACTCGACTGTTTTCACCAAGGTACCCGAGGGCTCGATAGCAATACTACGTAGGATTTGAAACAGCTGGACTTGAACGACGTTAAGATTACTCTGTTGGATTTTACCTCCTCCTGCTCTGTGGCCAGAACCTTCAATAATTCAACTGGTTGATATTTTTCTTTAAGTGAAGCAGAGGACGTCTAGGACTTTCCACACCAGAGAATTAAGGACAAACCTGATATTGACTATCCCTGCTCCAGAAAAGTACAATAAATGACTCAAGGGCTCGCCAGAGAGCATAGACTTGAGACTAACCAGATGCCTGGGATGTTCAGCACAGACTTTCCTAAAAGCAGCAAGATCCCGAGGTCTGGCTGTGGTGGGAAGAGCCCACTTGTGGGTACCACCTCAAATATTAGACAGGAAGAAGACTGGGCCAGGTGGTGGGAGCCCCGCTGCCCTGAATGCATTTGGGGTCTTGATGACAATCTCAGCACTCAGAGGAAGACCTCTCCTCTGCCGGAAGGCAGAGGGTAGAGTCTAGGATGTCCAGACTGTGCATAGAACTAACCACCCCCTTATATTCAGGGGCTTGGATGTAAACCACCTGCTTGGATGGAATTTAGTTCTCTTCTGAAAATAAAATGTGGCTCATCCCAGCTTGATTATCAAAAAACCTGAAAACATAGATTAGCCAGAGAAAAAAAGTAAAGCGCTCATCCTCCCTGGGATAACCACTTAACTTTTAGCACTTAAGTATGCCTACTGCAAACCTTATTTGTACAAGCATACATATATATGTGTGTGACTATACATATGCATTATATGTACAAGTACACACACACATTAGACATGTAGGTAGGCAACAGATATTTAAACAAATACACGTTTACTCTTAAAGGGATACTGTAAACATCTATGGTAGATGATCTTTTCCTTCTCAATTATTCACTCTCTCTTAGCAATAGAAATAGAAATCCACCCCCCATTGCATATGACTTCGGAGTACCTTCCACTCAAGTCCTGACCCTCTGATTTGGATCTTTGTCGCGAGATATGTTTCATACATGCGATGTTAGCCATGATACCATGAACAGAGCTCTAAATGTACTTTGTGTGTGTGACTAGCCTTTGTGTCCCTCTGCCAGCCACCGTGAGGAGAGCATGCCTCGATACCTGCTGGTCCGAGGGGGAGAAGAAACAGGAGGTGTGTGCAGCAGATCTGACCTCTCTCAGCCACCGCTGACACCGGCCCTCCACCAAAAACTACATGCTTGCGGTGGGAAGTCACTGGGATCTGGAGATTGCTTCGTATGCAGCATTATTGTAGCAATAGCTGCCTAATATAGCCTATGCCATGTCAATTACAACACTTAAAGTATTCTTAAAGCTGTGGATTATTGCACGCGTGCATTCACTCAGGCAATACTAACACATTTCTGTAAAGAGTGTTAAGTGTTTAGCACAGTGCCAGCCATTGTAAGTGCTCAATTATTGTAGCTATTGCTGAAAGTGATACTCCTATTTATTTCACCAACCCTTACTGTTCAACATTTAGGTTTTTGCCATATTTTAATACTTCACCACAGCTGTTATAATCTCCTTTTTGGGAATGTCATTGGACACAATCTTAATTATTTGCTTGGGATAAAACCCTATAAGCAAGATTGTTCAAAGAGGATATGTTCTGTTAAAGGTGCCTTATTTTTTGAAACTTGGGTGGAGTTGGTGATATCTAGCACTTCTCTCCTATGATGGATGAAGAGGCAGGAGCTAGGAATAGCTCAGCATTGGGAGTGGCCCAGAATTCTGCGACTGGAGAAAAATAAATGATCAGGCTCTTTCCCACACACATGTGCATTGGACATTGTCCCAATGCCTATTTTAAATGTTGGAGAACCATAGACCAAGCTAATGCCACAAAAAAACCCAGGAGTTCTCCAAGTCTGTCTATTAGAAGTGTAAAGGGGTCCCAGTCCCTTCTCTCGAGTGGGTTACTCTGAAGAATTCCACCCGAGCCATCTCTTTCTGAGACTCACTCGAGCTTGTGTGTACAAGTATTATTATTGGTTTATTTTTTTAACCAATAAAAATACTGGTAACTGATTTATAACTAAGACACTACCATTCAATTGGTATTAGACCCTGGAATCACGTGTCTCCATTCTGACCATTCTCTGTAATTGTTAAAATGCAAAGGAATGTGGAAATATTTATATCCATGAAGTCCTTGGATTCAGTGCTATGTCAGTAACTGGCCCTAGCATTTTGAAAAAAAAAAAAAAAAGGAAAATATATAAAGGAAGATATAGTTCCTAAGGTGGTAAAGTCATCTGGAACTTGGACTAATGACATTGTTTTGTTGGAAAGATTTGTTTATATATATAAAAGGAAATGTTGGCTTTCAGTTCATCACATTTCAGGGAACAATGGGTTCTTTCTTCAAAGTGAAATGTCATCTGTTTTCCTAGAGAAGAGAAGCTGCTGCAGCTGAGCTGGGAAATTAACTGCTAAAATAGCCGGAGAGAAAGAATTGCTGATAACTGGGACAGATTAGCTGTTCTAGTCCATCTCATGCCTATTTATTTCCACGCAATTGGTGATGGGGTTTCAGCTCAGTCCTGCATCCCCCTTTTCTTACCCCTTTGGCAATACATAACTGCAGGTCCTCAGTGTGGACTCAAGCCCAGTGGTTGGGGAGTTGATTTCTGAATAGAAAAGGCTGTAACCTGGGAACATTTCCAAATTCACAATTTCATTATATAATTGGATTGACTCTTTTAATTTGTTTCCAGACACTCAAGGTAAGGCTTCACTCAGTTCAAATTTTATGGGATGGTTTCCGGTTTTGGTCATTCTTTAACTTATTAATTTAGCAAATATATGTTAAACATCTTCTGTGTCCTGGTGGTTGCCAGGGGAAATAAAGGCCAGGCCCTGTCCTCAAGGGGCTTATAGTCTCAATGAGGAGGCTGACAGTAAATCAGGAGAAAGAAAGAATAATACAATTTCTGGAAGTATCAAGTGTGACCATTTTTAAAATAAATCAATCAAGGTGAGGGGACAAAGGATATCTGGGAGAAGTGTGTTGTTTTAGCCAAAGCATCAAGGAAAGTCCCTCTGAGAAGTAATATTTAAATAGAGATCTGAATGAAATAATGAGAGAGTCATGCGGAGATCAGGGGAAACAGCATTCCAGGCAGAGGGCACAGTGAATGCAAAGGGCTGGAGGTGTGAATGAGTTCAGTGCATTCAAAGAACAGCAGGCAGGCCAGATTCACTGGAATATAAGGCCAGGAAGGCCACCAGGACCAGAAATACAGGACCCTGAAGACTGGTTTACATTTTACTCAAAGTACAAAGGAAGTTTTAGCGTAGGGGAATCGAATGATGTGGCTACCTTAGAAATGTCATTGGGGGTTAGAGGGGCTATGTCCAGCAGATAGTCACATAGCAAAACTCCATACAGATGATTGGAATCGGATCCATCACGTGCAACAATGTCATAATTTTTAAAAAAAAAAAACAGTTTGATTTCTAGATGGAGAACTTTACCTTTACTGTGTTTATAAAACTTTTATAAAATTTTTAAAAATGTTAAGAAAATGCTCCTAAATGGTTTAATACAATTTTATTATCATTAATGAAGCAGAATTTTGGGGAATTTCCCACATTGCCACATACTATTTAGACTATGCAAATCCTATCCCAAACCCAACTATTCAATATTATGTGTTTTTTTTTTTTCCATTCAAAACTGACAGAAGAATTTTGAAATGCTCCCTGGACTCCACTCCCCTTCTCCCACATGCACTGAAAGAAAACACACACAGTCTGTTGGACTTTCGGACTTATACTCCCAAAAGTGTCATCCCTGTATAGGGGAACATTTGGGATGACAATGAAATTCTTTGAGCAAAAACCTGAAGAGATAAAAATTACCCCCAAGTCTAGAGAAAGCACGGACATGGAGAAGAGTGCACAGCAAGGCTGTGGGGCCTCCGTGGATTCCTGCTGCCACCCTGGGGGGCATGTGGACCTCCGGGAGCTGCTAGCAGAGAACATCCAACAAACACACCTTTCTTAGTCCTGGCTGCATATTAGTGGAGATGGCCCAGGGAAGTTGATGTCTTGAAGGGATACTCACAGTTCATGATTTTGCCATATTTTAAATCTCCACTATAAAATACTAGATTAAGCGGAAATTAATGTAGATTCAAAACAATATGGGCTGAAATATCTTAGAAGCCTATTGCTTCTGATGTGAAATAGGTACAGGGCTCAGCAGTCCAAGGCTTGTGGTGTGGCTCACAGCATCATCGGGGACCCAGGTTTCTGTCTTTAGGTATTCCTATGCAGTGATACTTGAATCTTCTGTGCCTCAGTTTTCTCATGGGTAGAATGAGTAAAATAATAAGCCCCACTAACCAGGTTGCTATGAAGTTAAAATTAGGTTTAATCCAAATAAAATGCTTTTAAGATTGATGTCTAGCAAAACTGATTGTTCAATGAACGCCAGCAATCACCATCATCATCCTCCCCATCATCACTACCATCACTATTGCCATCATCATTACATTTTGTGTAGTCAACTATAAATTTTTTCATTTATAATCACCATCACCATCACCATCATAATTTTCTTCAACACTATCATCACCATCATCATCACCATCACCACTACCACCATCATCATCACTGCCTTCATCATCACCATCACCGTAACCATCATCACCGTCACCACCATCATCATCATCCATCATCATAATCACTATTTCCATTAAGGCTTAGGAAACATTTATAGTTCTGCACTAATTCTATTTTGATGACAGACTGATTGAATAATAAAGTTTCTGACTTGAAGTAATCTTTAGCCCATCTAGTGTAACCCATCCCATATGTAAAAATGTTATTAGTTTGTCTAATAGTTAATCCCATATTGCTTAAAGCTTTTCTAAAATTGGGAACTCTTTACCTCACAAAAACACCTCTATCATAATTCCCACCTTGATTACTTGCTTGAAATAAATACTAAGAAGTGAAATTAGGAGGATAAATATGATGCTCCATTCGACCTAAATCCTTATCGTGAAAGTGTTCTTCAAGACACTCTCACTATGCAAGTGCCATTTTAGCATATTTTACCAACAAAGGAAATTATGTCTAAAAATTATTTGCCAGGCTGAGGAGTAAAACATATCATGTTGAAGTTTTGTTTAGTGTTTTTTTAAATTATTTTATATTTTTAGAGACAGGGTCTCACTATGTTGCCTAAGCTGGTCTGGAACTCCTGCCTCAGCCTCAAAGTGCTGGGATTACAGGCGTGAGCCACCACACCCTTTCTAGCGTATTTATTTGTATGACATGCAATATTTTTCTATAATATATATTCCCTACATTATATTATTTTCATTCCTCACTTGCTTATTCGTGACCTTAACCTATTTTTAATTGAAGAGTTTGTATTTATATTGGTTGATTTATAAATGTTCTTTGGATACTAAGGATGCAAATGGCTTGTCTTCTGTATTACAATTATTTCCCCAGGTTTCATTTGCCTTTTAGTTTATTTATAACGAATTTTAATAAACTGAAGTTTTAAAATGTTGTACAGTGGCCTATGTAAGTTCTCCTTTATGGTTTATTAATTTTCTTTTAGGATAGAAAAACGTTTCATATTTATGTATCAGATAAATATGCACCCTTTATTTTTTGTGTTGATTAAAATGGGTTTGCACAGCGGTGTAGTAATTTATGAACTTTTGTGTGCTCCTGGTCATCTTTTGCTAGGTCATCGTGTGGTTCTTCTTTTATTTAAGCCACGCCAGGAGGCACTCTGAAAGAACGGGCTGGTGGACATGGAGAGATGATGGAGGCTCAGAAGCCGCTGTGAGTGTTCCGGGGGAAGCACTGCCTTCTGCGTCCTGCCGCCCCCAGTATTTCTCCTCCGGCTGACCCTGAGGACTGCGGGGCAGGGAGTGAGGTGGGAGAGAAACGCGAGGATGTCCGCGCCGTGTTTCTCAGGGGCTCTGGGGGATGCCAAGACTCACAGTGCGTCCAGCTCCCAGCCCAGCCTGAGGCAGGGCAGTAGAGATGCTTCCCTGACCCCTTCAGGTCCCGGGGTTCAGATGCTGAGATGGTGCCCACACTTTCCTCCCATCCATGCGCTGGAGGGAGCCTCTGAATGTCTCCCACTGCCGCAGTGCATGAAGAAAAGATGATGAGAGAGCTCAGGAGATACCCTGGCCGCGAGGGCGCAGTAGTGGTGGAGACAGGCTCAAGGGAAAGACAGCAGCGCCAAGGACCTGGCGCCCACCCCCAATTCCCGGGGCTCTCTAAGACCCTGGAGGACCCCCCAACATCCCTGGGCCCTGGGCTGAGAAAACCCTAATGAGAAGTCGATTACATACCTGCCACGTTACGGCAGGAAGATTACAAATGAAAATGAAGCAATACACAGAAGAATAAAGAGGCATTTCCTGTACATCTGAATGTAGGGGGTCAAGCTTTGTATCCATGAAGTTATTTTATGAAGTGTGTGTGTGTGTGTGTGTGTGTGTATGTGTGTGTGTTACTCCTTAATTCAGTGAATTTCTGTAAGAGTATAATACAATATAAAGATTTGCCATTTTAAAAAATTAATTCCAAATAGATTTATAAGCCAGCTATTTGCCATTTAGAAGTGTGTGTTTGTGAGTGTCTGTGTGTGTGTGTGTGTGTGCGTGTATGAGAAAGAGATTTACCAGTAATTTAAAATGGCACAGTTATCATGTATCAAATTCTAATGGCATTTTAATAAATTCTGGATCTGTCCTCTCTGGGCATTTTATTCTATACATTACCTAGTCTCTGTCTTACCATGGACATTACATGGTTGCGGGTAATTGCTGAAATCTTGAAATACGTTTTAGGATTGGGCTACGCTCTTGCCCAATAACTATACTCCTGCTGACAATAATTTTCTTCTCAATATCTTCTTGGAATTCTTGCCCATTTGGAAATTTCTTGTCATAACTTTGGTTTTAAGAAATGCTTTAGTAGGTGGGATTTATACCTTTACTACATTGATCTTATTATGGGATTTATGCCTTTACTATATGGATCTTACAATCCAGGATTACAACATGCTTTGCTATTGATTCAAGTCTCCTTTTAGTGTCTTCAGTACAGTTTTATAGTTTCATTTATGCAGGTTCTGTACATCACTTCAGGATCTATTACCAGGTAGTGGAATCTTTTGTGTTTTCTGATTACTTTTATATTTTCATTGTTTGCTTATTGGTTGTGTTGTCATTATATTGGGGAAGAGATAAGGACTGTATCTATTCTAGCAAAGGAACTTCACGTCTCTATGCATTTTCTACATATTGGATGAAGCTCTTTTACCAGAGGCCTCATTTCCTGTGATGTTTTGTTTTTTTCAGTAGGGCGTCCACACCATACTTTCCGTGTGTTTGGGGCAGACTGGTTTTGTACCATGGTTCCTGCCCTCTCCCTGCCTCAAGGAGGGCCCTCTATATTTAGGAGAGGCCCTGTTCTCAACTTATTTAAAATCCTTGCCTCTACAGCTCCCAGACAGTGACTTTTACATGGGGTTGTCCACTGCAGCAAGTGAGAACTCTTCCTCTCCCCTGTATCTCATCCCCTTGCAAATCAGGACAACCGCTGAGACTGGGCAGAGATTCTCCCATTTTCTTTTCAGAATACTGCACTCCTGACTTTCTGAAGAAAAAATTAAATTCTGTCCTGGGCCACTTGCTTTGATCTAACCAGGAACTGTGTTTTGAATGGTGAGTGTTGCCACTCCCAGGGCATTAGGAAGTCTGTTAGATTGTTTGTTTGTTTGTTTTTTAATACTCCTAGAGTGTTTATTTTTATTTATTTTTTATTTCCATAGGTTCTTGGAGAACAGGTGGTGTTTGGTTACGAGTTAGTTCTTCAGTGGCGATTTGGGAGATTTTGGTGCACCCATCACCTGGGCAGTATACATTCAACCCAATTTGTAGTCTTTTATTCCTCACCTCCTTCCCTTTTTTTCCTCCAGAGTCCCCAAAGTCCATTGTGTCATTCTTATGCCTTTGCGTCCTCATAGCTTGGCTCCCACTTATGAGTGAGAATATATGATGTTTGGTTTTCCATTCCTGAGTTACTTCACTTAGAGTAACAGTCTCCAGTTCCATCCAGGTTCCTGCAAATGCTATTAATTCATTCCTTTATATGGCTGAGTGTTAGTTTTTTTTTTTTTTGCTTGTCACAATGTCTGGAGGGAACTAAAGCGCTTTATTGGATCTTGCCATCCCTGCAATGTGTGGGACAGGCCCGTATGGCAAAGAAACATCCTATCCCAAAAGACAATAGTGAACTGTAGAAAAAGAGGTCATTCTGACTGCACTTTAGTCGCAGAAATCATCATAGATTTCAGTACTCAGGTAGCTATGGTTTCCTAATTTCCTGTTTGGATGTTTCCCTCCCCCCGCCCCTTTTTTTGTTTCCTTTGCTCCTTTTTGGAAAGAACACACAGCGCTGGTAGAGGGCAGTCATTTTTCTGGGATGAAGTTTTTTTCTTTCCCATAATGAAGTGGCATCATTCATTTGGGGTGATACCTGAGGTTCATTGTCCCATGCCAAGGCAATCAAGGATGCAAACACACAATGAGTGAGGTTCACAGCAGAAGTTAAACAGACAAAAGAAAGACAAAAGCTCTCTCCTGCAGAGAGAGGGGTCCTGAACAGGTCTTCCAGTCCATGGTGAAGTGCAGATGGTTCTGCAGATGAGCTTGCGGAGTTAGTGTCTTGTTTACACAGGGCAGGAAAGATTGGTTGGACCAGGTGTGCCATTTGCATAGCATGCAAAGAACTGGTTAGCAGTAGGTGTACTGTTTGCATAGGTGAGAAGAAGCTGCCACCCCACCCCAATTTTTTATTATGCGGATGGGGTCTCTACCTGGCTGGCGCCATGTTGCCTGTTTCTTTACTGTACACGTGGTGACAAAAGAGAAGATGGAGCCTCTATATCGAACATACTTGGCCCCCAAGTAGCCCCTTTCTATTGGCACAGCTGCCAGCATTCCCCCATGCAAGCTTCCAGCTTGCTTATCTATGTCTGCAGCTTGATCTTTTTTATTTTACTTTAAATTCTGGGATACATGTGAGGAACATGCAGGTTTGTTACATAGATATAACATGCGCCATGGTGGTTTGCTGCACCTGTCAACCCCTCCTTTAGGTTTTAAGCCCCGTGTGCATAAGGTTTTTGTCGTAATGCTCTCCCTCCCCTTTCCCCCCACCTCCTGACAGGCTCCAGTGTGTGGTGTTCCCCTCCCTGTGTCCATGTGTTCTCATTGTTCAGCTCCCACTTATGAGTGAGAACACTGCAGCTCTATTTTTCAGGCTGCTCTTTGTTAGAAAAGAAATGATTTGGGGACTGCTTTTTCTTAAAAGGGAAGCCTTGCTGAGGACTCCTTTACCCTCACTATCTGCCTAAATAATTTCTTTCTAGCTCCTGTATCAATACGACTTTTCCATTTGTGGTGGTCAGTGTTTTGCACCAGCTTGAGTGGGCCAGTGTACCCAGCAAGTCAATCAACACTGACCCAGGGGTTGCTATGAATTTATCTCATCGATGTGGCTCACACCTAAGAGTGGCCCTCCCTTATCTGTGGCTCGCTTTTCATGGTTTCAGTTACTCACTGAAACCATGGTCTGAAAATATTTAGTAAGAAATTCCAGAAATAAACAATTCATAAAATTTAAGTTGTACACCGTTCTGAGTAACATAATCAATTCTTGTGATGCCAGGTCCCATCCCATCTGGGACACTAATCATCCCTTTGTCCAGCATATCTGCACTGCATACATCACCCAATCATAAGTCATTTAGTGACCTTCCAGGGTTTAAGATCAAAAAACATAGTATCTGTGAAGTTTGGTGCTACCTGCAGTTTCACGCATCTACTGGGGACCTTGGAATGTACTCCCTGAAGAGAAGGCAGGGGTGGTCACTGTACTTATTTGACTTTAAAGAAAGTAGATTATTCTGGATAATCTTAGTGGGCCTGATCCAATCAGCTGAAAGTCTTTAAAAGAGAAACTAAGATTTCCCTGAGGAAGAAAAAATCCCACCTGTGCACAGTAGCATCAGCTGGGTTTCCCAAGAGCTTCCAGCCTGCTTACTCGCACTACAGATTTCAAACTTGCCAGCCCACAAATATGCAAGCCAATTCTTGAAACAAACCTATCTCCCCTCCTTCTCTCTTGCTCTCTCAATCTCCTCTCCTTCTCTAGACAGATAGATGGGTATTATATATACACATATATACATATAATTTCTAGATATTTAATTTCTAGATGATATGTTGGTTCTGTTTCTGGTGGAACCCTGACTGTTGCTCCACTTTACACCACGTGGTGTTTCACATGTGTGTGGTGCATGGAGAAGTCTCTTAGGTGGGAATAAGATTCAAACACCAGTGTGAGAATGCATTTGGCCAAAACTACTCTTGAAACTCCCTTAGGACAGCTGCAGACACCTTTGAGGAGTGCAACGTAGCTGCTTTGCTACACTCCAGGATTGAAAGAGTTTAATGATTCCCTGTGAGCAACAGACAATGAGTTGGTTGTATTTTGGGGGTATACAAAGGGCTATGTATAGCATTGTTGGGATTACACACAGTTGGACAAAATATTCACAGGGCCAGGTTATTTGAGGACTGAGGAAGTTGAAGGAGCATCAGAGATACAGCTCCCATCTCATGCCCATCAGGGCTTATGCTCATTAAGTGAGATGGTGCACAAAATTGTCCAAATAATTAAACTTGCTGGCTCTTGGACTGGAACACATAGAGTAGAATTGGAGTCAGTTCCAGGCACCTGCCATACATCCCCACTGTAGGAACAAAGGGTCTTAAGACACTGGGAGAGGAGAAGTCTGCTCTGAAATTGCCTGGGAGAAGGTGGTGCAGGTCGCTCCAGGTGGCGAGTTATGAACAGGTGCTCAGCACACTTGAGAAAATGAAAGAATTCTAGTGGTGCCTCCTTTGGATGAGACCCGAATCTCATGGGTGACCACCGCCTGCTGCAGAAGCCCAGCCTGCTATTCCCCATGCCGTGCTGGACCACATGGTAGTGTCAGAACCGCCAGCCCACCGGGATGTCGGTGGTGCTAAGAGTTCAGACGCAGCCCCCGTACCACATAGGCATGACGTTTCAGCTTGTCACTTGGTAGCTCTGTGATGTTGTAAAGTTTCATAGCCCTTCTATGTCTCACTATATTTTTAACCGGTAAAATGGAGGTAATAACGCATGTTTCAAAGGCTCACTGTGAGAGTCAATGAGCCTTTGAAGGACGTACCCTTATTATCCACATTTTCCCGCTATTTCAACCTCCCTGCACCACCCCACAGGGGCGAAGGACATGCCACTCTTTACTCTTCATATCTCTGCTCCCTTCTCTGGGCCACATTTTCCCTGAGGGTCTGGGCTAACTCACTGTGTGCCCCCAGAGCCCCATATAAGGCCTGGTTCACACAAGGCAGCCAGTAGATGTGAATAATAGATATTAATAGAATGGATTAATACAGATTAATGTCTGGCCCCACTTAGAGGATTGGAGGTTTTAAGCAGTAAAAGCCTACCCTAAACTCAGCTTCCTAGATATGCACATGTCTTGAGACCTTTGGGGCCATTGAAGTTTTGCTTAAGGAAATCCTAAATAGATGCTAGCAAGATTGCAGAGAAAAGGGAACACTTACAGACCATTGGTGCGAGTGTAAATTAGTTTAACCATTGTAGAAAGCAGTGTGGCAATTCCTCAAAGAGCTAAAAACAGAACTACCATTCGACCCAGCAATCCCATTACTTGGTATACAACCAGAGGAATATAAATCATTCCCCCATAAAGAGACATGTGCACAAATGTTCACTGCAGCACTACTCACAATAGCAAGGACATGGAATCAACCTGAATGGCCATCAATGGTAGACTGGATGAAAAAAATGTGGTAATATACACCATGGAATACTATGCAGCCATAAAAAGAATGAGCTCATGTCCTTGACAGCAACATGGATTGACCTGGAGGCCACTATCTTTGACAAACGAATGCAGGAACAGACACCAAATACTGCATGTTCTAACTTATGTGTGGGACCTAAATTATGAGAACACATAGACACATAGAGGGGAACAACAGACAGTGGGACCTACTTGAGGGTGGAGGCTGGGAGGAGGGAGAGAAGCAGAAAAAGAACTATTGGGTACTAGGCTGAATAATTTGGTGACAAAATAATCTTTATAACAAACCCACAAACCCCCATGACATGGGTTTACCTATATAACAAACCTGCACATGTACCGCTGAATGTAAAATAAAAGTTAAAATAAAAAAAAAAAAAAGATCGCACCCTGTTTTCCACTGGGCTTGGGGACTTTTATTTTATTTTTATTTTTGTTTGTTTGGTTTTGGTTTTCTTTTCAGACAGAGTCTTACTCTGTCGCCCAGGCTGGAGTGCAGTGGCACCATCTTGGCTCAGTGCAACCTCCATCTCCTGGGTTCAAGTGATTCTCCTGCCTCAGCCTCCTGAGTAGCTGGGATTACAGGTGAGTACCACCATGCCTGGATAATTTTTGTATTTTTAGTAGGGACGGTGTTTCACTATGTTGGCCGGGCTAATCTCCAACTCCTGACCTTAAGTGATCCGCCCGCCTCAGCCTCCCAAAGTGCTGGGATTACAGGTGTGAGCCACCACGCTCAGCCTGGGCTTGGGTTTTTAAATGGAGCTTTGAAGTGATCCTCATTTCTCACTGAACACGATAAACTCAGATTTTAGGAGATTAACCACGAGGTTCTCCTTTACTATTAAACAGACATACAACACAGGCATATTTCCCAACAGTGGAATATTTTTATTAGAACTCATTAGTTAGTAAAAAAGATTGTTGAACAGAGAGGAGATGATGGTTGGAAATGAATACTATTAAAATTAATTATTCCTTGATTTACAGACTATTTCCCTTTTTCATCTGAAGTCTTATAGAATAAATGGAAAAAGCAAACTTATGACTTTTTCAATGCTGCTGGAAAAAATGACATATAGCAATATGTAATTAACATATAAATAGCCATATGTTATAACACATAACTAAAATGTTTAAATAAAATATAATTCTTGGAGGAAGTTTGGCAACACAATCACTTACTAAACATAAAAGAAAGTTGCTTGCTCTTCTGTCTTATTGTTAGAAACATGACAAAACTTCAAGGACAAGCGCTGTACTTGGAAGATAAAAGGCTCACTCAAGAATTTCAGATTGGGGGGTATGGCTTAGTAAGCATTGTTTAAGAATCAAAGACTGGTGCTGGGAAAACTGGCTAGCCATATGTAGAAAGCTGAAACTGGATCCCTTCCTTACACCTTATACAAAAATTAATTCAAGATGGATTAAAGACTTAAACGTTAGACCTAAAACCATAAAAACCCTAGAAGAAAACCTAGGCATTACCATTCAGGACGTAGGCATGGGCAAGGACTTCATGTCTAAAACACCAAAAGCAATGGCAACAAAAGCCAAAATTGACAAATGGGATCTAATTAAACTAAAGAGCTTCTGCACAGCAAAAGAAACCACCATCAGAGTGAATAGGCAACCTACAAAATGGGAGAAAATTTTCGCAACCTACTCATCTGACAAAGGGCTAATATCCAGAATCTACAATGAACTCAAACAAATTTACAAGAAAAAAACAAACAACCCCATCAAAAAGTGGGCAAAGGATATGAACAGACACTTCTCAAAAGAAGACATTTATGCAGCCAAAAGACACATGAAAAAATGCTCACATCACCGGCCATCAGAGAAATGCAAATCAAAACCACAATGAGATACCATCTCACACCAGTTAGAATGGCGATCGTTAACAAGTCAGGAAAAAACAGGTGCTGGAGAGGATGTGGAGAAATAGGAACACTTTTACACTGTTGGTGGGACTGTAAACTAGTTCAACCATTGTGGAAGTCAGTGTGGCGATTCCTCAGGGATCTAAAACTAGAAATACCATTTGACCCAGCCATCCCATTACTGGGTATATACCCAAGGGCCATAACATGCTGCTATAAAGACACATGCACACGTATGTTTATTGTGGCACTATTCACAATAGCAAAGACTTGGAACCAACCCAAATGTCCAACAATGATAGACTGGATTAAGAAAATGTGGCACATATACACCATGGAATACTATGCAGCCATAAAAAATGATGAGTTCATGTCCTTTGTAGGGACATGGATGAAACTGGAAATCATCATTCTCAGTAAACTATCGCAAGGACAAAAAACCAAACACCGCATGTTCTCACTCATAGATGGGAATTGAACAATGAGAACACATGGACACAGGACGGGGAACATCACACTCTAGGGACTGTTGTGGGGTGGGGGGAGGGGGTACTGATAGCATTAGGAGATATACCTCATGCTAAATGACGAGTTAATGGGTGCAGCACACCAGCATGGCACATGTATACATATGTAACTAACTGGCACATTGTGCACATGTACCCTAAAACTTAAAGTATAATAATAATTAAAAAAAAAAAAGAGAAAGTATCCATTTCCTGAAATCTCCAACTCTGAATGTTACTATCTTTTAAAATATTTAACAATTGGACAAAAAAAATAATATTTCAATGATGGTTTTAATATTGTTTGACTGGTCTTTGGTTCCTAATAAACTAGAGCATCTAATATAAAAAAAAAAGAATCAAGGACAATTTCAGACTTTTCAAACTCTTACCTCTAATGAGATCTCCAAATCCACAATGAACTCACTAGAGCATCGTCAAGGGGCCTGAGCTCCTCCTAAGGAAGCCGGACACCGTCTGGATCATCACCAGGGAGGGAGGTGAATATGTCTGTGATTGGGACAGGGATCTAAAAGAAACACAGGTCTCAGGACTGTACCTAAATCTTCCCCATCCTTCCTCTCACAAAAAGGATTGCACTTAGTCCGCTCTGCGTCCAAGACTCAAAAAGCTAACAACAGGACTATAATGCCACCTTTATTTTCGTTGTTGGCAGGTAGCAAGGACACAATAAGCAGAGGTCTATTTGCAGGTAACACAAATTAGCACAAACAGTGGCTGTGGCATCTCCGACAAACAGGGTACATGCCCAGAGAAGCTCAGCCTGGGACACAGAAGGAGAGGAAGGTCCCTGCGGGTAGCAGTGACCACTTCAGCACCCAGGAGGAGCCATGTGCTACTGGCATCACTATTGTCCTTGATCCATCTTTTTCTTTTCTTTTATTTTCTTTCTTTTCTTTTTCTTTTTCTTTCTTTTTTTCTTTTTTTTTTTTTTTTTTTTTTTGCAGGATCTCACTCTGTCACCCAGGCTGGAGTGCAGTGGCAGGATCATAACTCACTGCAGTCTTGAACTTCTGGACTCAAACAATCCTCTCGCGTCAGCCTCTTGAGGAACTAGGACTGCAGGAGTGAACAATGGCACCAGGACCTCGTCTTGACAATTAGGCTTAAGCCTGTTTTTATGATGAAAAGAGAAACTCCAAGGATATGAAAGAATCTCCCCCATAGATAAATATGTTTTCTCCATTTTATTTTTCCCTCACTGTCTGAAGTACATTCATGAATTTTTAGAGCAATAGATAGAGAGGGTTTTACAAAATACCCCCTTTTCCAGTCCAGAGACTCATCAGAGTATGAAAACAAGTGAGAAGTGGCTGGGTATGGTGGCTCACGCCTGTAATCCCAGTACTTTGGGAGGCCGAGGACCGGCGGATCACTAGGTCAAGAGATCGAGACCATCCTGGCCAACATGGTGAAACCCCGTCTCTACTAAAATTACAAAAATTAGCTGGGCGTGGTGGTGCACGCCTGTAGTCTCAGCTACTTGGGAGTTTGTTTTGTGAAATGTTAATGCTAGCTTTCAATCAATTTTATTATATAGCCTTCCCATTTAAAAGAAGTCCTAAAACATGGTCTGTCCTTCAACACGTTTCCTATTAAAATTATACGTGAAACCTGGCTGTGTTTGATAGGATACCATTTGCTGTGGCTTCCTTCGATTCACAAAGCATGAAGGGTGGCTGAGAACATAACCTTAGAGACTGATGACCTTCTAGGCCAGTGCTATCCACGTTTAAACAACCAGAGCTCTCGAGAACTCACTCATCATGACAAGCACAGCACCGAATGGATGGTGCTAAACCATCCCTGAAGGATCCATCCCCATGACCCAGCCACCACCCATCGGGCCCCACCTCCAACATTGTGGATTACAGTTGAACGTGAGATTTGGGTGGGAATACAGATTCAACCATATCAAATGAATTTAAATTAAATAAAACTGAAACTCATGTTCTCAGTCACACAGTGCTCAGTAGCCAGCTGTGGCTAGTGGCTCATTCACTGGACAGCACAGATGTGAAACATTTCCATCGTCACAGAAGTTGCTATTGGCCGGTGCTGTGCCTTCTCCAATCAGCAATAGATCAGAAAACATGTCTGTAAATTTCTTTGCAAAAGAGTCTTCTTTAGACGCTGCACGGTGACCTTATTTCAAAAGATCATTCATTTTTTATTGCATGTAACTTGAATTCAGTGGTTCACAGTTTTTGACAGTTTTATTTGTGTTGCTATGAAATTTATATATTTTTATTCTAGAAAATTTGGAAAACACAAATTAAACTCCCCCCCAAAATCATTAAAATCACCAACTCCTTTGAGACTCAGAGGTAAGCACTGTAAAAATTTGGATGTAAATATTTTCAGTGATTTTTTTATTTTTTAATTTTACTTTTTTTTTTTTTTTTTGAGACATAGTCTCAGTCTGTCACCCAGACTGGAGTGCAGTGGCGAGATCTCAGCTCACTGCAACCTCCACCTCCCAGGTTCTAGCAATTCTCCTGCCTCAGTCTCCTGAGTAGCTGGAATTACAGGTGCACCACTGGGCCTGGCTAATGTTTAAATTTTTAGTAGAGATGGGGTTTCACCATGTTGACCAGGCTGGTCTCGAACTCCCAGCTTCAGGTGATCTGCTGAACCTTGGCTTCCTAAAGTGCTGGGATTATAGGCGTGAGTTACTGTGCCCAGCCTTCAGTCATTTTTTTAAATAAATATAATTTGAGGGCAAAATAGGATTAATTATATATAACAGCTTGGAACTCTTTGCCACCTATTACTGCATTATGCACATCTTTTAATGTTGCTAAATATTTTATGATTGATCATTTATAGTAGGTGACTAGAATTGAATTATTGGAATCTTTATTTGATCCAAAAGTCATGAATTCAAACACCTTCAGAGCTTAAGCAGATAGAGTGCAAGGCTGAAGAACCTGGATCAAGTACAATAAGAAACAGTGGGTGCTATGGAGAACCAAGGGAGTGATACTGAGGGGAGGGTGGGCAGTTGCCACTTAGAAGTAGAATTTTTTAAAGCTTTAATTACTTATTTATTTTGAGACAGGCCCTCACTCGATCACCCAGGCTGGAGTGCAGTGCTGTGGTCAGGGCTCACTGCAGCCTCCACCTCCCAGGCTCAAGTGATCCTCCCACCTCAGCCTCCCAAGTATCTGGGACTATAGGTGAACACCACCACACTGGGCTAATTTTTGTATTTTTTATTGATACGGGGTTTTGTTATGTTGCCCAGGCAAGTCTCAAACTTCTAGGCTCAAGTGATCCTCCCTCCTGCCTCAGCCTCCCAAAATGCTAGGATTACAGGCGTGAGTCACTGAGCCGGGCCATAGGTTTTTTTTTTTTTTTTTTTTTTTTCATGTCCAAATGCAGTGATACTAGATATTCTAATCTTCCAAGAGGCACCAAAATTCTGTAACTTCATGTGAGAAAAAAAGCTGAATTAATTTAGGCTATCTGTTCGTGTTAAATCACTGATTTGGCCATAGAAAACAAGTCTGCGTGCTAGATATCCTTCGAGGACTACCATTTTGAAAATTCTGATTAATTTATTTTGCATAGATTGTTAGATGGTAAGCAAGTTTTCATTGTTATAAACAGTGCAGAAGTGAAAAAAATACACATCAACAATTTAAAAATTTATTAACTTTGATCTTCATTACCACTTCTTGGCATTGATACTAACAAAGTAACGACAACTATTTGCAAAGATAATAAATTTTAAAATTGTTCATACATATTGCAAAAGTGCTTTGTAAAATTGTACTAATTGACAAGATTACCAACAGCTTATGAAAGTATGTCCCCTGACAATTTTCCTAACACAAACTTGTTTTTCATTTTAAAAACCTAGCATGTAGATAATATCTATCTTTATAATTTTGTTGTCTTTGGTAATGGTAGGATTTATTTTCACATCTGTTTATTGTTTATGTATGTTTCTTCTTGGATGAAATGTTTGTCTATGTTCCATGTGTATATATGTTGGTTTTGATTTGCTATATAAATATATATAAAGCTCTTTATATATTAATGATGTTAACAAAGGTTTAGATTCTGCATCATTTTAACACAGATTTAATATTATCCATATTAACCTAATCATCTTAACATTTTTTGTGCACCACAAGACTTCCAAATTTGAAATCTATGAAACTACATTCTAAAGCAGAAGTATACTATTTGATCATTGTTCCATTCTTTGATTAGAAGTACATTTGATACTTGAGAAATGGGAACATATAATGTTTCAACAGTAAAAGAAGATTAAAAACATTAAAATAAAACACTGTGGGAAAAAATAAGATTAAAACTTGCCTTCTGTCTTGGCACAGTTATGTGTCCCTCCCACTGAAATCACTGTAAGGATATAAATTATCTCAGAATCCCGTGGCTGTATTTAGTATTCCTCCTCCAGCCTACCACAGAACCCCATGTTTAATGATAGCAATATTCAAATTTATCTACATCATCATTTTATGCATTGGTCTTTCACTTAAAAAAAGTTACTTGAATAATATTTCATTATATGATTACACTACATTCTGTTTAGTTATTGATCAGCTGATGGACGTTTGGCCTGTTTTGGCTATAGCACTAATAGTGCTACAATGAACATTCATGTACAAGTTTTTTCTTGAATACATGGTGGAATATGGATGAACCTGACACGGATTATGCAAATGATGGAAATCAGACACAAAAGGACACATAGTGTGTGACTGCATTATTTGAAATGTCCAGAACAGATAAATTCATAGGAACAGAAAGTAGATTCGTGGTTGCGAGGGGCTGGGAGGAGAGGAGAATGTGGAATGATTGCTTGAGAGGAACAGGGCTTTATTTTGGAATAATGAAAATGTCTTAGAGTTCTATAGAGGAGATGGTTGCCTAACATTGTGAGTATCCTAAATGCCACTTAATTGTTCCCTTGAAAATGGTTAACAGTCAATTTTATATAATGTGAATTTTACCTTAAATGTGCACACGTTTATATATGCATATGCATATGTAATATATGTATAAGGAAATATATATATTATTTCTCATACATATTCATATTAGAAAGAGAGAAAAATAGAGACAGAGAGAGAAAAAGGAGAGTGCATCATTTACTTCTAAGTCACCATGGTTTATCTCAGTCTCTCAAACACAGAAGCCACCCAAGAAATGTTTGAAGTAAATTACAGGAATTAAAATTCAATCACTTATAAAATCCATTTGGGGTCTGATATTTTATATTATCTATTGTGTAGCTGGCTAAAGAAGAACCCATTATTCTTAATTTAAGGTGTATGAAATGTCAGGCTGCTGGCTCTAGTTTAATTCACAGTACAACCACCATTGGTAAAGTTCCTTATGATTTATTAAACCTGCTTATCCTATGTGACTATAATTCATCCCATCTAGCCCAGGTAGCATCATTTCTCCTTGGGACTGGGAGAAATGGCATTTAGAAGGTACACCACCTATTCTAGAGTTTGGGAACTTAAATTTCTCCTACTCGATAACATCCTTTGGCTTAAGCTCACAGGTGCTATCCTTGGATTTTGATGTCTGGATAATGGCCATATCTCCATGGGTTGCTTGGACTTGGAGAAAGGTAGTAGAAACAAAGAGGTGTTTGGCAATAGTAAAGGTGATGATATCCTCTTTCTCAGCAGACAAACCCTGAATAATCAGTAGCTTGACACAATTAAGGTTTATTTCTCAGTTAGGCCTGATGTGAGCAAGACAGCTCTCTTCCATCCTGCAGTTCATGGGGTGACGAACCAGCCCTATCTGTGCAGTATTGTCCCATTATTAGCAGTAAAAGTCCCAGAAAATCTCTCCCACAGGACAAAATGTCCTGATTTTTGGCAATAAGAATGTAAGGTTAGGAGAAAAGTACAAAACCCCAAGTCTGCACTGAAAAATTAGGACCAAAAGCAGCATCTTTACTCACTCTGAGCGATGAGACTGAAGCGTGCAACTGGAAGTGTGTTGTCATCGTGATGTTACCAGCCCATCTTTGGCTTTGCCTGTAGAATAACTGTTGTTCTTTGTGTCAAAGTAACTATAGTTTGATATTCATTTTTTAACAATGTGAAAATTATGACTATGTTTTCAAGAGTTTAGATGATAAGAATGATATCAATTGCAATACCAATACCATATGACCAGACATCACCAAAAAAAAAGGTGGATTAGCAGATAAATTATTAACAAAAAGCATACTGCACAATAAGCACAAAAGAATTTTGGATTGGGCATGGTAGAGGATATCAGAATGCATATGGAAATTCAATCTCCTAAGTCCAAGATGAGCCAGGCAAGTACTTCCACATCAATCAAAAGTATTTTTGTCTTTCAGGAGCCACCAACGCTCAAGTGAAAATAGTGGCCACTGAATTCGCTTAGCAAACCACACAAGCATACATATATCAACATTCCATCCCCTTAATTGTACTAGGACTGAGAAAAGCTACATTTTCTATTTCAGAGATTGCAACTAACATGTCCTTTAGGCAAACAACAAAATTTTGATACCAGATATGTTGGCCCTTTATCTGTAGAACTGATTTTATCATGCTTTCTGCAGTATATCAAATGATGTGTTAAAATCAGAACAGAAGAATTTCCCCCCAGCTCTGATGCAGTTTGCTTTATTTTTTTATTTTGAGACAGGGTCTTACTCTGTCACCCAGGCTGGAGTGCCGTGGCGCGATCTTGGCTCACTGCAACCTCTGCCTCCCGGGTTCAAGCAATTCTCCTGCCTCAGCCTCCCGAATAGCTGGGACTACAGGTGTGCACCACTACCTTCCAGTGAATTTTTGTATTTTTAGTAGAGATGGGGTTTTGCCACATTGGCCAGGCTGGTCTTGAACTCCTGGCCTCAAATGATCCAGGCACCTCAACATCCCAAAGTGCTGGGATTACAGGCATGAGCCACCTTGCCTGGCCCTGCAGTTTGCTTTAAAAAATAGAGTTTCAAATTGTTTTCTTGGTTTTGTTGAAGATTTTTTTTTAACTTTTATTTTAGGTGCAGGGGTACATGTGCAGGTTTGTTAATACAGGCAAACTTACGTCACAGGGGATTGGTATACAGACCATTTTGTCACCCAGGTACGAAGCCTAGTACCTGATACTTATTTTTCCTGATCCTCTCCCTCCTCTCAACCTTCTCCCTCAAGTAGGCCATTTCTCTTCTTCCCTTCTTCGTGTCATTGGTTCTCATTATTTAGCTCCCACTTATAAATGAGAACATATGGTATTTGGTTTTCTCTTCCTCTGTTAATTTGCTAAGGATAATGGCCTCTGGGTCCATCCATGTTCCTGCAAAGGACAAGACTCGTTCTTTTTGTATGGCTGCATAGTATTTCATGGTATACATTACACACTTTCTTTATCCAGTCTATCATTGATGGACATTTAGGGTGATTCCATGTCTTGCTATTGTAAACAGTGCTGCAATAAAAACATGTGTGTGTGTATCTTTACGGTGGTATGATTTCTATTCCTTGGGTATATACTCAGTAATAGGATTGCTGTGTCCAATGGTAGTTCTGTTTTGAGCTCTTTGAGGAATTGCCACACTGCTTTCCACAATGGTTGAACTGATTTACACTGCAACCAACGATATATAAGTGTTCACTTTTCTCTGCAACTTCGCCAGAGTCTGTTATTTTTTGACTTACTAATGATAGCTATTCTGACTGCTGTGAGATAATATCTAACTGTGGTTTTATTCTGCATTTCTTTAGTAATTAGTGATATTGATCATTTTTTCATATGTTTGTTAACTGCATGTATTTCTTCTTTTGAAAAGTGTCTGTTCACGTCCTTTGCCCACTTTTTATTGGGATTGTTATTTCTTGTAAATTTGTTTAAGTTCCTTATGGATGCTGGATATTAGACCTTTGTCGAATGCATAGTTTGCCAAAATATTCTCCCATTCTGTAGGCTGTTTACTCTGTTGATAGTTTCTTTAGCTGTGCAGAAGCTCTTTAGTTTGATTAGATTCCATTTGTCCATTTTTGCTTTTGTCACAGTTGCTTTCGGCATCTTTGTCATAAAATCTTCGCTAATTCATCTGTCCAGACTGGTACTTCCTAGGTTATCTTCCTGGGTTTTTATAGTTTTAGGTTTTACATTTAAGTCTTTAATTCATCTTGAGTTGATTTTTGTGTGTGGTTTAGGGAAGGGATCCAGTTTCAATCTTCTGCACACGGCTGGCCAGTTATCCCAGCACCACTTACTGAATAGGAAGTCCTTTCTCCATTGCTTGTTTCTATCAGCTTCTTTGAAGAGCAGATGGTTGTAGGTGTGCAGCATTATTTCTGGGCCCTCTCTTCTGTCCCATTGGTCTATGTTTCTGTTTCTACACCAGTACCATGCTGTTTTGGTTACTGTGTACCCTGTAGTATAGTTTGAGTTTGGGCAATGTGAGGATTTTAATAAAGCCATAGAAATCATCAGAGAACAGATTTATTTTTGCATCTTGTCAAAATACCAACTAGATTTTACTCATTTATCTGCAGATTCAGCCAGTGTGCAAATATAAATGTTGACAAATTTCACTCAGTCTGTAAATTCTTAGCAAATAAAATAATAGTTATTATCTGCTAAAGTCTTGAACATTTTGTACACAATACTGCTAAAAAGAAATATTTACTGGCCGGGCGTGGTGGCTCACACTTGTAATCCCAGCGCTTTGGGAGGCCAAGGCAGGCAGATCACTAAGTCAGGAAATCGAGATCATCCTGGCTAAGATGGTGAAACCCCATCTCTATTAAAAAAAAAAAATACAAAAAATTAGCCGGGCATGGTGGCAGGCGCCTGTAGTCCCAGCTACTCGGGACTCTGAGTCAGGAGAATGGCGTGAAACCAGGAGGCAGAGCTTGCAGTGAGCCGAGATCGTGCCACTGCACTCCAGCCTGGGCAACAGAGCAAGACTCCATCTCAAAAAAAAAAAAAAAAAAAAAAGGAAAAAAAGAAAGAGAGAAATATTATTTACTTACCTATGACATAGAGGCTTTAATCCTAAAAAATGTTTAGTCAATTTTCAGGTTCCTCAACATTTGCAGAAGTACTTTCTATGTTTTTGCTTTTCTTTTTTTTTTTTTAACTTTATAAAAATGAAAGAAGATAGCCTTCTTACACATGTACCCCAGAAAATCCACAAAATGATACTAAGATGTCAGCCTGCCATAATATGTGTCCAAAGGGCGGGGCAAGGAGAACGTCCTTCTCTAGTCTGTAAATACATTGAGAATGAGGATACAGAAAAGTATAACTTTGAAACAAGAACCTATGTGGGTTTTTCTAAAACTGTTTGATGATCTTTGAAGAGGATATAAGAAGCTTATAAAAGAAGGGACCGATGCACTTGACTTTTTCTATGTTATGTGTACAAGTTGTGACAGTAGTTCTCACAGGAAAGAAAAAAATTCCTTTTTCTCAGAAAGACTGCTTCAGAACTCAAGAGAGTGTCACTAAAAAAGGGCAACCAAGCTAAACAGGACTTTCTCCTTTTTTTGTAAATAAAAACTCTGACTCCTAGACTCCAACTTTGATTTTATACGTTGAAATTACCTCTATGACTTTACATCATTTTCTCTGACAGAAGAAATTCAACTTATAGTGACATCCAATGTGCTACAGAGTGTTTTAAAATGACATGAAATTAAAGATGTAAGTGACCAGTCCAAGGAGTTTATTGATGCAAATGAGGTAATGGACAAACAGCTGGTTTACCAAAAAAGACAGATGTGACACAAAGTGAATGGACATTTTTGGAAAGCAGGAAAGGAATGCCTAAAGGGTTTAAAGCACATTGTTGCCAGTGAGGAAAACTCTGTGTATTCCAGTCAAACACTTTTCCCTAGAGGATTTATAGCATGATGTCGACCCATTGGGCCAAGCATCATTTTAATGTGGATTTAGTAAGAGTGCATTAAATTATATTTAGTTTCAGAACCACACAGAAGAAAAGAAGGACTAGGTATTAGTCCCTTCTCACATTGCTATGAAGAAATACCTGACACTGGGTAATTTATAAAGAAAAGAGGTTTAATGTATTCACAGTTCAGCATGGCTGGGGAGGCCTCATGAAACTTACAATCATGGTGGAAGGTGAAGGGGAAGCAAGGACCTTCTTCACATGGTGGCAGGAGAGAGAAGAGTGAGCCAAGGAGGAACTTGCCAAACTTATAAAACCATCAAATCTTGTGAGAACTCACTCACTATTATTAGAACAGCATGGGGTTTTAAAGCTGCCCCCACGATCCAATCACTTTCCACCAGGTTCCTCCCTCAACACATGGGATTACAATTCAAGATGAGATTTGGGTGAGGACACAAACCCTAACCATATTAGACTTCCTTAAGGCCACAGGCAGCTTCAAGAACCATCCCCCTGTTGTGGGCAGTAAGGCGTATCCTTTCATCCCCACTGGCACAATGATCACATCTCCAAGTTCTTTTGTTTTCTATTTAATTTTAGGGCAGCATATCTGGCCTGATTTATCAACGACAGCCATTGTTTACTGCAGATTAATCAGAGGCAGGTGACGACCAAAGAAGGTCATTCGGGGATCTTGAAGCCACAATTACAGTGATTTCAAGGGAGATTATGTAATTTAGCAGAAACTTCCATTGTTTTCTTCCTTTGTCAAATACATCTCACATGTTTGCTTGCAAAAACTCACAGATGGGGCAAGCTCTTTCAAGTTACTATTTCAAAATCACACAATGAAGGTCCCCAATCTACATTCCTCAGCACGAGGGCCTTGACTCCTTTCTCTAACCCCAGCTCCATGGCAACCTTTTCTTCTGGCCTTTGCAGCTGCAGCTTTTGAGGAGCCCTGCTTGGGATACTATTTTGGGTGCCCTCATTAGATACAAGGTCAGTGCGACTATGTGTGCCCATTGCAGCTGCACAGAGGGGAGAGATCTAGGACACTGAAAACAAACCCAGGATGCCATCTCCCTTACTTCTCACTTCGCCAAGGCAGCTGGACCCTCCTGAGATATCATTTATCCACGACAAACTTGCTGTTCAGCTCAGGTGAAGAGAGGGGTGGAGAAAGTCAGCTCCAAGCAGCACCCTTTGTGAGGGGCAATTGTTTTGAGTGTGATTGTCTTTGGGACACATTCTGTCTGGCTCTCTTCCCCAGGCACATGGTAGGAACACCCCTCCAAACCCTCTTGAAATTAAGGATAGTTGCATGACTTGCATCGGCCAAGGAAATGAGCACAAAAGTGTCCCATGCATTCTTTGCTATCTTTCCTCTTTCATTCTGCTGTGAACACCTGTGTTTTCCAACAGAGCTGCTGCCATAGCCAGGGTCCTGGGGTGGGGCCAACGTGGCACAGAGAACTCAGGGCCTACACCCAATGGGCACACAGCATAAAGGAGAAATCAGCCTTTGTGGTGAGGCTCTATGCCTCTAGGATTTTGGAGATAGAGAGTTACCAGAACATAACCCAAATTATCTTGACTACAACAACGTAGTTGAAAAAGGGTGTGAAATCTGAAGAATCCCAATGCCAGGTCTTAGAAACAACTTCTCAGACCAGAAGTCCTAAGACTACACTTTCTGTTGAAAAGGAGATGTCATTCATGTTGTGTGCACTCATAGAGGGAACGATTGCAGTGCGGGCACATGGAGAGCAACCAACCAAGCACAGAAGCATCCAAGGGCACCAGATGATCATTAGCGTTTTCACATCATCTTCTCCACCACACCAAATACCTGGACTTCCCTTTGCAAAACTCTCACACCCATCACCACATTTGAGACCTCCAGGACTGGGATATCTAGAGCCACTATTATCCATGAGAAAATGAAAAGAGAGGTTGAAGGACTGGACCACTGATTTTATGAATTGTGCTGGTTGTTTCCTTTGCTGTGCAGCAGCTTCTTACTTTGATGTGGTCTCACTTGTTTATTTTTGTTTTTATGGTCTATGCTTTTCATGTTATGCTGCCTTTGTTTGGTGTCCAAAGGGAGAAAAAAATCATTGCCAAGGCCAGTGTAAAGAGCTTTTCTTCCTACGTGTTCTCCTAGGCATTTTATCATTTTAGATTCTACATGTACATCTTTAATTCATTTCTAGTTAATTTTTATATGGTGTAAGATGAGGATCCGATTTCATTGACTTGCATGTGAATAACCGATTTACTGCAAACCATTTATTGAAGAGACTTTCCTTTCTCCTTTGCATATTCTTGGCACACAATGAGATTCCACTTCTCACATGTTAGGATAGTTATTATCCAAAAGACAAGAGAGAGGTGCTGGCGAGGAGGTAGAGGAAAGGGACCCTGTCTGCGGTTGATGGGACTGTAAATTGGTACAGTCATTATGGAGAACAGTATGGAGGTGCCTCAAACAACTGAAATAACACTGCGATGGATGTGAGAGTGTCTGTTATAGCAACAAGGGAAAATTCACCAAAAATACGTGAAAAATCTAAGCATTTCCACAGGCAGCCTGTTGTGTCATTGATAAGAGAGGATATTTCACACAGAAACAATTTTAAGGGTTGTTATTAATAATACGCTGGCACTATTTCAAACACAGTGGCACCTGGAACAAACACAGGTTCGGCTCCAGTGCAGAAGAAGAGGGAAGGGTATCATTTAGCGGACATGATCATAACTGGAGCTCAGGAGGAGCTGAAATAAGATCCAGGCAGGGAAATCATTGGATAGAATCTTCCTGGTGCTGAATTGGAGGAAGTCTGATTTTATCTAAAGATGATTTTAGGAGCTTTGATAGAGAGAAGGGAGGAAAGCAGAAAGGAGAGGGGGAGAAAACACTGCAAAAAAGGAGGTACACCGCACAGGTATAGCTGATAAGTGCAATTCCACCTCTCTCCCCCAGCAGGAATGGGTTCAGCAATAAGACTGTTATGTAAGTTGGTCTGAGCAAATGTGTTTCCCAGGGAGTAGGACAGCAGTTATCAGAGGCAAAATTTTATTCTTCTATAGGTACAAGAAAAATACATTACAAAAAATGATTTCTTTTTTTTTCAGCCAGTTTGAATAAACGTTTCAGGTGTGTGCATTTAGAAGGGTATCAGCCAGAGCAGCTATCAGGGCAGAGCTCATGGTCATGCCCCACTTTGGAGGGGAAGGGCATGGTTAGGCTGTTCTTGCACTACTATAAAAAATACCTGAGGCTGAGTAATGTATACAGAAAAGATATTTAATTGGCTCACAGTTCTGCAGGCTGTTCAGGAAAGCATGGTGCTGGCATCTGCTCAGCTTCTGGGGAGGCCTTGGGGAGCTTTTACTCATGGCGGAAGAAGAAGGGAAAGCAGGTGTCTCTCATGACAAGAATGGCAGCAAGAGTGTGAGGAGGTGCTGCACACTTTTAAATCATCAGATCGTGCAAGAACGAACTCACTATTGTGAAGACAGCACCAAGCCATGAAGGATCCGCCCCCATAATCCAATTACCTCCTACCAGGCCCACCTCCAACACTGGGGACTGCAATTCAACATGAGATTTGGAGGGGACATCTCATATATATCAGAGCATGAGAAAGGAGCGGACACTCAAGGGAGTGGGCACGTCTTTCTGGAGAGTCCACTTCTTTAGCAAATCAACAGCTGATGAAGCAGGAACTGATGGACACTCCCAGGCAGGTGCAGCCAGGAGACCATGCAGACACAGACACTGTGTGGCCAATGCTCCCCCTGACATAGCAGAAGGGTCCTGGCCTGATCACGTGGTCTACCACCATGGGGAAGAGACCACATCAGAGCCGGATGCAGAGAGCTGAGCTTACTGCAGCAGAGCCGCCATGCAGAGGAACCACTGTCCACCTACACCCTTCTCCACCCCCAGACCACCAGGTCTGGGTGAATACACATTGACCAGCTCACCCAAGTAGATTCTTTAGACCTGTTGGTAGCAACATACCAGCCCTGGCTAGTTATTTTCTCATTCACAGGTGAGTCAGTCGGGGGCACAAAAATCACGTGTGCGCTTATGAAAAGATCCAGCACCATAAGAGAATGGAGAGAAGTAAGCCTTAAGGGGCAGAAGAAAAGCACACTTTAGTAACATTTTAGTAAATGAAAAATATATGGATTTGAGACATCACCTGCTTTGAGCCCACAAACAAGGCTCAGCTACAGAGCAGAAATGAGAGAGCGATCGCTCTTTTCACAGAGGCAGCTATCCAGATACTCTTTAAATATTGCCTCTGGCTGTCATCTATTTTAGCAAATGAATGGTATTAGGTAGAGGAAGCTGGGAAAAGTGTGAAAGATGGACACAGCAAACTGAGCAAGCCTCCTTCTTTTCTCTGTTTCCCTCATGTATTAATTAGGCAGTGAGCAGAGATGGATGAAACCACTCAATCTGTCCAATCCAAAATGCCCACCTAATCCCTTGCTCCCCTTCTCTTTCTCCAGCGAATGTGCTTCCTCAAGGCCACATCAACTCTATACTCTGCTTTTCCCAAATTCAGGGCTTACTACTGACAGATACAATGATTTTTTTTTTCCTTAGTGTAAGTACGTCCCCATGAAATATTTGGGATATACTTGTACTAAAAATGTATTCATGGTTGGTCTGAAATTCAGATCTCACTGCCTGTCCTGTATTTTATCTGGAAACTCTGACAGGGAGTGATGCATGTCATGGGGCTTCCAAGGGGAATCAATTGCTCAGAAGCAGACAGCTCGCAAATTAGAACTCCTGGGAAAACACAAGGAGGGAGGAAATTAAATGGAAGACACCCAGAATGGCTGCAGTAAGGATTCTTTAAAAACTTAATCAGGAGAAGGTTCCTTGGGCAGAAAGTCTGGAGTCAAGAGGGCAATTATTTTTCCTTTTTAGAATTTTGCTTCTTATTCCACAGAGGAAACAGAAAATACAATTTTTCTTTCGGGTGATTAAGGCCAAAGGAAAGTCTGTGCTAGAGGTCTGGCCTTACCATCTGATAACAGCAGCAAAGAAAGATTAACTTATTAATACTTTCATAAATATTTAAGACTATGCATCCAAACACTATTGTGGACCCCTACACAGACACCCTTGACTTCCAAGCCAACTCTTAGAGTTTCCCCAGGGAGATGTTTTATGTTCTTATCATTGGGAAAATTAAGAAACATTTCAAATGAGCTGCAAAATCAGACCAAGATATAAATAATTCACAAGGAGACTAGCAGATTCCAGATATGGAATGTTTATCAGAATAACTGCTCCCTACACAGTTTTTCCTTTTACTTTTTCTTCTCTCCAGCAGCTGCTGCAAAGCTCCATACAATCAAGAACCTTTCTTCTCTAGTTTGTTTGTTTTGCTTTGCTTTGCTTTGTTTCATTTTGTTTTGAGATGGGGTCTTGCTCTATTGCCCAAGCTGGGGTGCAGTGGTGCGATCATGGCTTACCACAGCCCATCCCGGTTTTAAACCCTAAAAATCTATTTTGGTCAGACTTCTTTGACATACCTCCAAAGGAAGGAGAGATAAGTTCAGGAAATCCAAGTGCAGACAATGTGGGTATTTCCTTTCCTGGGTAGATCCCAAGTGGAACTGAAATGGACTTTGGTGATGTAATCCAGGGATAGAGGTGGCTGGGTCCTATGTGTGTCTTTGCAGATGAACCTGAGACAGCGTGATAGAGCATCTTTTGTCCCAGCCTAGTCCGTTGGGTTTTCTGGAAACCAGCATCTTGTGAGAATAGCAGAATAATTTCCATGTTACTAAGAAAGATAGTAGGGTAGAAATAGAGGCCAAGAGATGCAATGGCAACCCTCCAGTGGATGAAAGAGAAGACACAGAAGACATCTGCATGGGAAATGGGAAAGAAAAAAATAGAGCAAACGTCCTCCGAGACAGATCAAGAATGGAAAGGAAGGAGCTTCCCCTCTATCCCACATCCCTTATGCCCAGAACATCACAAGTTCCTCGGATTTAGAGGAGATGAAGGGGGAAAACACGCAGGAATCCCAGAATGCATAAGACAGCCTCAGTATAATTCAGTATTCATTGACCAAAGGCCTTCACATGACAGCTTCCAAAACCCAAAAGACAGAAGGACAGAAATAGTGACCACTCCTCAGGTAGTCCTTTCTTCTATGAAAGAACAGGCCTTTCCTGGAACCCGCCAACTGACTTCCTCTTATGCCTCACTGGAGGTCACATGCCCACTGCTATACCACCAATCACTGGCAAAGGAAAAGTGGCTGAAGCGAATGGCTTCATCCAATCAAAATTCATCTCCTACAGACTGGGGCTACCTTCTTGGAGATGAGGGCATTAATCCTAACACCTGACCAGAGACAAGAAGAAGGGGGAAAGACTTTTGGTTAGGTCACTGACAATATCTGCAACTTGGGGCAAAATGGTAAGAACGAGGACTGTTGCGTCCTCCCCTCCAAAGAGAACCCAAGTAGGCATCATCCCCACCTCCTTACATCCTGAGGTCTTCTTATTTTCGTATCACACATGAAACCAAGGAGACTACAGGAGAGGTCATCCGAACAGTGGCAGAGGTGAGCTGGCCATGACCTCCTTCACTCCTGACTCCGGTTCTTTCCATAACACTGTGTTTTCTCATATACCATGGAATACTATGCAGCCATAAAAAGGATGAGTTCGTGTCCTTTGCAGGGACATGGATGAAGCTGGAAACCATCATTCTGAGCAAATTATCACAAGGACAGAAAACCAAACACCGCATGTTCTCACTCATAAATAGTATTTTCAAAGGGCATTGTCAAAGTTTTAAAAAATACGTTATTTTCACATTTTTCTACCATAAAAACGCATAGAAAATTGCATCACCTTTGCTATTTAGAAGAACTCCTTTCAGACTCCTTCTTTAAGAACTAACAGAAGCAAGCACATAAAGCCAAGGCAAGACACCGTGCACTCTTCCAACAATGTCACACACAACAACTCACCTCGTCATTGCAACAACCTATGAGAAAAGCATCATTATCTCAACTTTAGTGATGGGAACACTCCTCAAAGAGATTAAATATCTTGCCCAACATCACAAAGCTGGTGAGAGTCACAGCCAGGATCTAGCTCCAGAGAAGTATATCATAAAAGATGTTACGTTTACTCTACAAACAGAGTTTAGTGCCCAGTGGGATTAAGTGCGTATATATGGATTTCAGAAAATTCACATACCTGGAACAAGGTAAGATAATAAAATCTAACAGGCAATAAGTTTATTCAAGCAAATAATTGGTAAAATAAAGTTTTAAATATTATTTTAAAAATAAAATTAAAAATGAAATTAATACCACCCCTTTGAAAATTGTTTAGTACTCTCTATTAAAGTTAGCACCTACCAAAGCTAAACATGTACATACTCTGTTACCCATCAGCCCCACTGCTAAATCTATTATCAACACAATTTTTTGTGCATAATTTTGCCAAAATTCATGTACTAGAATGTTTGAGAAACCAGTATTTGTAACAGCCAGAAGCCAGAAACTACCCAAATTTCCAAATGGTAGTTTGTGGTATATGTGTATATATACATAAAATTATATATAACATTATATACATATAGCTTATATAATTAAATAGACTATTCAACAATGAGTATGGGTAATCTAAAATTGCACGTAAAGGCCAGTCACGGTGGCTCATGCCCGTAATCCCAGTGCTTTGGGAGGCTGAGGCAGGTGAATCACTTGAGGTCAGGAGTTTGATACCAGCCTGGCCAATATAGTGAAACCCTGTCTCTGCTAAAAATACAAAAATCAGCCATACATGGTGGTGGGTGTCTGTATTCCTGGCTGCTTGGGAGGCCAAGGCAGGATAATCACTTGAACCCAGGAGGCAGAGGTTGCAGTAAGCCGAGATCTCGCCATTGCACTCCAGTCTGGGTGACAGAGTGAAACTCCATCTCAAAAATAATGATACAATAAAATTGCATGTAAAAATATGAATGACATGAATAGATACAATGCTGAATGAACAAAGCCAGAACCTGCCAGCCAGAAAATTATGTCTCAAAACACTCTTATTTCTGCAATAATTATACCTACTATGTATACTGTATAAATCCATTTACATAAAGCACAAACAAGCAAAATGTATCTTTTTGTTGGGAGTTGCTGCCTATGGGCAGTCAGGTAGACGTGGTTAGAGGAAGGGGAGATGAGGAAGGCCTCTGCGGGCTGAGTGTGTTCTGTCTCTCCAGTACAGTTTGAGTGACACAGGTGTGTTCAATTGTGAACACTCACCAGGTGGGCGGTGAGGATACAGGCAAGCTTCTACATGTACATGGCACTTTAATTAGAATATTTTAGAGGGTCAAATGATTTGAACTTCTTCAATATTACCTGTCTTTAAATTTTGCATATTTTATTTCTTTTTTGCCTTCCTGGCACATCTGTGATATCAAAAAAAAGTCTAGGTTTTATTTATTGTTAATGTTCTCCCTTGAAAAAGCAGTTTTCTTGCTGTGATACATAAATTAACCTCTTGGCATAACGATTTTCCTTTTCATTAAATGGAACTGTCAGGGGAGAGTAAAAAGCAAGAACTTTACTGGAATGAAAGAAACTGGGATTAATTTTTTTTCCCTGTTCTCAAGCGCTCCTGGAGGACGGGTTGGATCAAGTCTTCCCCACTCTGGGAGGAACTCTGGCCTCCCTGCCTGCAGCTGAGGGCTGACTTTGAACCAGCGCATGTGCTGGAATCTCCTCCTCACGGAGGAAACTTGAGTTGGTCACTGATGGAGTTTGGAGCCTCTGGGATTATAACTATCGCTAATCTGAAATCAAGGAGGCAGCTATGCATAGAGAGAGGCATCTGCCCCAGTATCTCTCTAAGGGTATAGAGAAACAGGCCCATGTACACACCTGGATGGGAAATGGGTACGGCCTCCATCAGAAAAATGGTCAAAACAGGTTAAAAGCCTTAAAGACTGTGCAAATCTTCAACTCAGTAATTCTACTTCTAAGAAATGATTCTATAAAATAACTGGACAAGTCTTTACTCCATATTAATTATATTTCCATTGAAATTCTATTTCAGTTTTGCTTGGGATAAATACAATTTTAACTTAACTATCATTTGACTAAGTAAGTACAAGTTAGGGTAACTTAACATAGTTGTTGTAAATTATTGCAGAAATAAGAGTGTTTTGAAACCTATAATTTTCTGGCTGGCAGGTGAAGCAAAAGTCATTTTCTGATGAAATTGTGGAGATGAGATTTCTAAGAAATGTGTTCATGTTCGTCCTGGAATTCAGAGGCCAGTCTGGATTTATTGTATCTTCCAGAAACCAATTTATCCCCAATAGATCACACAGAGAAATATGTCTTGATTCTCCTCTTGCAACTAACACTCAATATTTTAGTTTATTTTATCCACAAAAGAAATAGAGATTTTTCACAGTTTATTATGCTGCACGCTCCCTGATGGACGTTCTTTGAAACAAATATATGTTTTTCTTTGCTAGAATGAGCATAATTACGTCAGTGGATAGATCACATTTACCAACAGCTCTTTTTGGAAATCTTGAGACATCTGTTGTAGCTGCTTGAGGCTTTAGTGAATGCAAGCTGGAGTCATTAAGTTAAGGCTCTGAGAGTCCCTTTCTCTGGCCAGTGGAGGACTCCAGGGTCATCCATTAGCTTTGGAATTTGTTTCTGTCATCCTGGCCTTCAAGGTCATTTTTTTTCCTGAAAGCTGGAACCTCATCAAAAGGCACCTGGATGGAGACCTTGTAGGCTGAGGGCTTGCTGGTCAGCAACACTGGCAGCTGGGCTGGTGAAAAATAAATTAATTTATCACACCTGCAGTTCTGACCTACACAGTCGAAGGCAAAGAAAAAACATGGAACATCATGATCATTCATTAAGGTGTTGGGTTTTATGCCCGGAGCTCAATGCTTCCCCCCCACCCCATTATGGAGAATAAGCAGACAATTATATAACCATCTGACCTAATTTGAGGTTTCTATTCAAAGAGTGTTTTAAAATGCAACTTTTATTGTGATTCAGGGAGAGTGAGACCAACAGATCAGCTACCATTAAACAGATGGATTGTTACAGTTCCCGAGAGGTAGGGCACACAGCACAGGGGCAATTGGAAGCCGGGTAAGTTAAAACGCAGAGGGAGTGAGGGGATGGTGCGGGTAAGAGCTTTCACTATGGTTACTATGGCAACTAACAAGGGAGGTAGGGTAAATAGGAATAGGATCGATTAGTTGGAATAATTTCAGCCAGCCCTTTGGTGTAGGTGTATTCTCCAGTTTTCTGGTACCTGGCCCTGGGGTAATTAGGGCAGGTATATAGTATCCCTGAGTATAAGATACTCACCAAGAAGGTTGTTGGGGTCTAGGCTCCAGGTGGGTATTTTATATATGAAAGGAGTGCAGTCTTTTGCTATCTCTAGGAATTACCTAACCCCAGGTGGGGCAGTCACTCCCTTGTCAGCAAGATCCCAGATGTCAAAGCATTTGCTTTTGGATTCTTTGTCATGAAATCCTAATTTTCAGCAAACAGAAATTACATTGTACCTTTTTTAAGTTTTTAATTTTTTGTTTTTGATTTTTTTGAAACAGAGTCTGGCTCTGTCACCCAGGCTGGGGTGCAGTGGCGCGATGACAGCTCACTGCAACCTCTGCCTCCTGGGCTCAAGCAATCCTCCTGCCTCAGCCTCCTGAGTAGCTTGGACTATAGGTACATGCCACTGCACTTGGCTAACTTTTGTACTTTTTATAGAGACAGGGTTTCGCCGCATTGCCCAGGCTGGTCTCAAACTCCTGTACTCAAGGGATCTACCTCCCTTGAGCTCCCAAAGTGCTGCGATTACAGGTGTGAGTGAACGTGCCCATCCCAAACAAAAATTTTAAAAATGCACACTTAATACAAGATTCATCTCACCTACATGGCCAGGGAATCAGAAGATGATTCCCTTCTTGTCCTGCAGCATCCCATTCCACAACTCTGTGAGACGAGCTGATGTTTCCACACCCTTGAAATTCAGGGTGCACAGGTATGTGGGATCAAAAAATGCGACCCTATTAAAGGCATCTGGACTTCCTTACCTGCTAAACTGGCCTATTCTATTATCTGAAGAGAGAAAAATAACTTTTTTGTACATATCAAATATTCAGTCTTGATCTGGTTGCAGAGCCAACGAATGTGTTGTTTTTCTCAATCCTGTAGGTTTATTGGTTGCATTAAAAAAAAGTCTAAGGAAATTAGGAACACAAATTCCTAGGCCATTTCAGGGCAAGAATTCACTGGACTTCTTAAAAACAATATAGGAACTAAAAAATTACCAACAAAAAAAAAAAGCCCAGGACCAGACCGATTCACACCAGAATTCTACCAGACATTCAAAGCAGAATTGGTACCAATCTTTTTGACAATATTCCACAAGTTAGAGAAAGAGGGAACCCTCCCTAATCCATTCTATGAAGCCAGCATCACCCTAATACCAAAACCAGGAAAGGACATAATCAAAAAAGAAAACTACAGACTGATATCCCTGATGAACGTAGATGCTAAAATCCTTAACACAATACTAGCTAACCAAATCCAACAACATCAAAAAGATAATCTACCATGATCAAATGGGTTCCATACTGGGGATTCAGGGATGATTTAACATACACAAGTCGATAAAGCTTATACACCACATAAACAGAATTAAAAACAAAAATCACATGATCATCTCAATAGATGCAAAAAAGCAAAAGTCAGCATCCCTTTATGATTAACGCTTTCAGCAAAATCGGCATACAGAGGACACACCTCAATGTAATAAAAGCCATCTATGACAAACGCACAGCCAACATAATACTGAATGGGGAAAAGCTGAAAGTGTTCCCTCTGAGAACTGGAACAAGACAAGATGTCCACTCTTACCACTCCTCTTCAACATAGTACTGGAAGTCCTAGACAGAGCAATCAGACAAGGGAAAGAAATAAAGGGCATCCAAATTGGTAAAGAGGAATTCAAACTGTCACTGTTTACCTCAAAAACCCTAAAGACTCCTCCAGAAAGCCCCTAGAACTAATAAAAGAATTCAGCAAAGTTTCTGGATACAAGATTAATGTACACAAATAAGTACCTCTTTTATACTGTACCAATCATGACCAAGAGGAGAATCAAATCAAGAACTCAACCCCTTTTACAATAGCTGCAGAAAAAAATAAAAAATAAAAAATAAAATACTTAGGAATATACCTAACAAAGGAGTTGAAAGACCTCTACAAGGAAAACTACAAAACACTGCTGAAAGAAATCACAGACAACATAAACAAATGGAAACACATCCCATGCTCATGAATAGGTAGAATCAATATTGTGAAAATGATCATACTGCCAAAAGCAATCTACCAATTCAATGCAATCCCCACCAAAATACTACCATCATTCTTCAAAGAATTAGAAAAAAAATTCTAAAATTCATATAGAACCAAAGAAGAGCCCACATAGCCAAAGCAAGACTAAGCAAAAATAACAAATCTGATACAAAAAGAACAAATCTGGAGGCATCAAATTACTTGATTTCAAACTATCCTATAAGGCCATAGTCACCAAAACAGCATGGTACTGGTATAAAAATAGACACGTAGACCAACAGAACAGAATAGAGAACCCAGAAATAAACCCAAATATTTACAACCAACTGATCTTCGTAAAGGCAAACAAAAACAAAATGGGGAAAGGACACCCTTTTCAACAAATGGTGCTGGGATAATTGGCTAGGCACATGTAGGAGAATGAAACTGGACTCTCATCTCTCACCTTATACAAAAATCGACTCAAGATAGATTAAGGACTTAAATCTAAGACCTGAAATTATAAAAATTCTAGAAGAAAACATTGGAAAAATCCTTCTAGGCATTGGCTTAGGTATGGATTTCATGGCCAAGAACCCAAAAGCAAATGCAATATAAAAAAGTTAAATAGCTGGGACTTAAGTAAACTAAAGAGCTTTTGCACGGCAAAAGGAACAGTCAACAGAGTAACCAGACAACCCACAGAGTGGGAGAAAATCTTCACAATCTATACACCTGACAAAGGACTAATATCCAGAATCTACAAGGAAATCAAACAAATCAGTAAGAAAAAAAACAAACAATCCCATCAAAAAGTGGGCAAAGGACATGAATAGGCAATTCTCAAAAGAAGATATACAAATGGCCAACAAACATATGAAAAAATGCTCAACATCATTTATGATCAGGGAAATGCAAATCAAAACCACAATGTGATACCACCTTACTACTGCAAGAATGGCCGTAATCAAAAAAGTCAAAAAACAGTAGATGTTGGCATGGATGCGGTGATCAGGGAACACTTCTACACTGTTTGTGGGAATGTAAACTAGTACAGCCGCTATGGAAAACAGTGTGGAGATTCCTTAAAGAACTAAAAGTAGAACTACCATTTGACCAGCAATCCCACTACTGGGTATCTATCCAGAGGAAAAGAAGTCATTATACGAAAAAGATGCTTGCACACGCATGTTTGTGGCAACACAATTCGCAATTGCAAAATCGTGGAACCAACCCAAATGCCCATCAATCAACGAATGGATAAAGAAACTGTGGTATTAATATACAACAGAATACTACTCAGTCATAAAAAATAATTAATTAACGGCATTTGCAGTGACCTGGATGAGACTGGAGACTATTATTCTAAGTAAGGTAACTCAGGAATAGAAAACCAAACTTCATACGTTCTCATTGATATGTAGGAGCTAAGCTATAAGGACGCAAAGGCATAAGAATGATACAATGGGAGGGAGGAGCCAAGATGGCTGAATAGGAACAGCTCCAGTCTACAGCTCCCAGCGTGAGCGATGCAGAAGACGGGTGATTTCTGCATTTCCATCTGAGGTACCGGGAGGATCTCACTAGGGAGTGCCAGACAGTGGGCGCAGGTCAGTGGGTGCACACACCGTGCGCGAGCTGAAGCCAGGCGAGGCATTGCCTCACTCAGGAAGCACAAGGGGTCAGGGAGTTCCCTTTCCTAGTCACAGAAAGCGGTGACAGACGGCACCTGGAAAATCGGGTCACTCCCACCCTAATACAGCGCTTTTCCGATGGGCTTAAAAAATGGCGCACCAGGAGATTATATCCTGCACCTGGCTTGGAGGGTCCTGGCCCACGGAGTCTCACTGATTGCTAGCACAGCAGTCTGAGATCAAACTGCAAGACGGCAGCCAGGCTGGGGGAGGGGCGCCCGCCATTGCCCAGGCTTGCTTAGGTAAACAAAGCAGCCGGGAAGCTCGAACTGGGTGGAGCCCACCACAGCTCAAGGAGGCCTGCCTGCCTCTGTAGGCTCCACCTCTGGGGGCAGGGCACAGACAAACAAAAAGACAGCAGTAACCTCTGCAGACTTAAATGTCCCTGTCTGACAGCTTTGAAGAGAGCAGTGGTTCTCCCAGCATGCAGCTGGAGATCTGAGATGGGCAGACTGCCTCCTCAAGTGGGTCCCTGACCCCTGACCCCCGAGCAGCCTAACTGGGAGGCACCCCCCAGCAGGGGCAGACTGACACCTCACACGGCCAGGTACTCCAACAGACCTGCAGCTGAGGGTCCTGTCTGTTAGAAGGAAAACTAACAAACAGAAAGGACATCCACACCAAAAACCCATCTGTACATCACTATCATCAAAGACCAAAAGTAGATAAAACCACAAAGATGGGGAAAAAACAGAGCAGAAAAACTGGAAACTCTAAAAAGCAGAGCGCCTCTCCTCCTCCAAAGGAACACAGTTCCTCACCAGCAACGGAACAAAGCTGGACAGAGGATGACTTTGATAAGCTGAGAGAAGAAGGCTTCAGACGATCAAATTACTCTGAGCTACGGGAGGAAATTCAAACCAAAGGCAAAGAAGTTGAAAACTTTGAAAAAAATTTAGAAGAATGTATAACTAGAATAACCAACAGAGAAGTGCTTAAAGGAGCTGATGGAGCTGAAAACCAAGGCTCGAGAACTACGTGAAGAATGCAGAAGCCTCAGGAGCCGATGCAATCAACTGGAAGAAAGGGTATCAGCGATGGAAGATGAAGTGAATGAAATGAAGCGAGAAGAGAAGTTTAGAGAAAAAAGAATAAAAAGAAACGAGCAAAGCCTCCAAGAAATATGGGACTATGTGAAAAGACCAAATCTACGTCTGATTGGTGTACCTGAAAGTGACGGGGAGAATGGAACCAAGTTGGAAAACACTCTGCAGGATATTATCTAGGAGAACTTCCCCAATCTAGCAAGGAAGGCCAACATTCAGATTCAGGAAATACAGAGAACGCCACAAAGATACTCCTCGAGAAGAGCAACTCCAAGACACATAATTGTCAGATTCACCAAAGTTGAAATGAAGGAAAAAATGTTAAGGGCAGCCAGAGAGAAAGGTCGGGTTACCCATAAAGGGAAGCCCATCAGACTAACAGCGGATCTCTTGGCAGAAACTCTACAAGCCAGAAGAGAGTGGGGGCCAATATTCAACATTCTTAAAGAAAAGAATTTTCAACCCAGAATTTCATATCCAGCCAAACTAAGCTTCATAAGTGAAGGAGAAATAAAATACTTTACAGACAAGCAAATGCTGAGAGATTTTGTCACCACCAGGCCTGCCCTAAAAGAGCTCCTGAAGGAAGCACTAAACATGGAAAGGAACAACCAGTACCAGCCACTGCAAAATCATGCCAAAATGTAAAGACCATCAAGACTAGGAAGAAACTGCATCAACTAACGAGCAAAATAACCAGCTAACATCATAATGACAGGATCAAATTCACACATAACAATATTGACTTTAAATGTAAATGGACTAAATGCTCCAATTAAAAGACACAGACTGGCAAATTGGATAAACAGTCAAGACCCATCAGTGTGCTGCATTCAGGAAACACATCTCATGTGCAGAGACACACATAGGCTCAAAATAAAAGGATGGAGGAAGATCTACCAAGCAAATGGAAAACAAAAAAAAGGCAGGGGTTGCAATCCTAGTCTCTGATAAAACAGACTTGAAACCAACAAAGATCAAAAGAGACAAAGAAGGCCATTACATAATGGTAAAGGGATCAATTCAACAAGAAGAGCTAACTATCCTAAATATATATGCACCCAATACAGGAGCACCCAGATTCATAAAGCAAGTCCTGAGTGACCTACAAAGAGACTTAGACTCCCACACATTAATAATGGGAGACTTTAACACCCCACTGTCAACATTAGACAGATCAACGACAGAAAGTCAACAAGGATACCCAGGAATTAAACTCAGCTCTGCACCAAGCGGGCCTAATAGACATCTACAGAACTCTCCACCCCAAATCAACAGAATATACATTTTTTTCAGCACTACGCCACACCTATTCCAAAATTGACCACATACTTGGAAGTAAAGCTCTCCCTAGCAAATGTAAAACAACAGAAATTATAACAAACTATCTCTCAGACCACAGTGCAATCAAACTAGAACTCAGGATTAAGAATCTCACTCAAAACCGCTCAACTACATGGAAACTGAACAACCTGCTCCTGAATGACTACTGGGTACATAACGAAATGAAGGCAGAAATAAAGATGTTCTTTGAAACCAACAAGAACAAAGACACAACATACCAGAATCTCTGGGATGCATTCAAAGCAGTGCGTAGAGGGAAATTTATAGCACTAAGTGCCCACAAGAGAAAGCAGGAAAGATCCAAAATTGACACCCTAACATCACAATTAAAAGAACTAGAAAAGCAAGAGCAAACACATTCAAAAGCTAGCAGAAGGCAAGAAATAACTAAAATTAGAGCAGAACTGAAGGAAATAGAGACACAAAAAACCCTTCAAAAAATTAATGAATCCAGGAGCTGGTTTTTTGAAAGGATCAACAAAATTGATAGACCGCTAGCAAGACTAATAAAGAAAAAAAGAGAGAAGAACCAAATAGACGCAATAAAAAATGATAAAGGGGATATCACCACCGATCCCACAGAAATACAAACTACCATCAGAGAATACTACAAATACCTCTATGCAAATAAACTAGAAAATGTAGAAGAAATGGATAAATTCCTTGACACATATACTCTCCCAAGACTAAACCAGGAAGAAGTTGAATCTCTGAATAGACCAATAACAGGAGCTGAAATTGTGGCAATAATCAATAGCTTACCAACCAAAAAGAGTCCAGGACCAGATGGATTCACAGCCGAATTCTACCAGAGGTACAAGGAGGAACTGGTACCATTCCTTCTGAAACTATTCCAATCAATAGAAAAAGAGGGAATCCTCCCTAACTCATTTTTTGAGGCCAGCATCATCCTGATACCAAAGCCAGGCAGAGACACAACCAAAAAAGAGAATTTTAGACCAATATCCTTGTTGAACATTGATGCAAAAATCCTCAATAAAATACTGGCAAACTGAATCCAGCAGCACATCAAAAAGCTTATCCACCATGATCAAGTGGGCTTCATCCCTGGGATGCAAGGCTGGTTCAATATACGCAAATCAATAACTGTAATCCAGCATATAAACAGAACCAAAGACAAAAACCACATGATTATCTCAATAGATGCAGAAAAGGCCTTTGACAAAATTCAACAACCCTTCATACTAAAATCTCTCAATAAATTAGGTATTGATGGGACGTATCTCAAAATAATAAGAGCTATCTATGACAAACCCACAGCCAATATCATACTGAATGGGCAAAAACTGGAAGCATTTCCTTTGAAAACTGGCACAAGACAGAGATGCCCTCTCTCACCACTCCTATTCAAAATAGTGTTGGAAGTTCTGGCCAGGGCAATTAGGCAGGAGAAGGAAATAAAGGGTATTCAATTAGGAAAAGAGGAAGTCAAATTGTCCCTGTTTGCAGACAACATGACTGTATATCTGGAAAACCCCATTGTCTCAGCCCAAAATCTCCTTAAGCTGATAAGCAACTTCAGCAAAGTCTCAGGATACAAAATCAATGTGCAAAAATCACAAGCATTCTTATACACCAACAACAGACAAACAGAGAGCCAAATCATGAGTGAACGCCCATTCACAATTGCTTCAAAGTGAATAAAATACCTAGGAATCCAACTTACAAGGGATGTGAAGGACCTCTTCAAGGAGAACTGCAAACCACTGCTCAAGGAAATAAAAGAGGATACAAACAAATGGAAGAACATTCCATGCTCATGGGTAGGAAGAATCAATATCGTGAAAATGGCCATACTGCCCAAGGTAATTTACAGATTCAATGCCATCCCCGTCAAGCTACCAATGACTTTCTTCACAGAAGTGGAAAAAACTACTTTAAAGTTCATATGGAACCATAAAAGAGCCTGCATCGCCAAGGCAATCCTAAGCCAAAAGAACAAAGCTGGAGGCATCACACTACCTGACTTCAAACTATACTACAAGGCTACAGTAACCAAAACAGCATGGTACTGGTACCAAAACAGAGATATAGATCAATGGAACAGAACAGAGCCCTCAGAAATAATGCCGCATATCTACAACTATCTGATCTTTGACAAACCTGAGAAAAACAAGCAAAGGGGAAAGGATTCCCTATTTAACAAATGGTGCTGGGAAAACTAGCTAGCCATATGTAGAAAGCTGAAACTGGATCCCTTCCTTACACCTTATACAAAAATCAATTCAAGATGGATTAAAGACTTAAACGTTAGACCTAAAACCATAAAAACCCTAGAAGAAAACCTAGGCATTACAGTTCAGGACATAGGCATGGGCAAGGACTTCATGTCTAAAACACCAAAAGCAATGGCAACAAAAGCCAAAATTGACAAATGGGATCTAATTAAACTAAAGAGCTTCTGCACAGCAAAAGAAACTACCATCAGAGTGAACAGGCAACCTACAGAATGGGAGAAAGTTTTCGCAACCTACTCATCTGACAAAGGGCTAATATCCAGAATCTACAATGAACTCAAACAAATTTACAAGAAAAAAACAAACAACCCCATCAAAAAGTGGGCGAAGGACATGAACAGACACTTCTCAAAAGAAGACATTTATGCAGCCAAAAAACATATGAAAAAATGCTCACCATCACGGGCCATCAGAGAAATGCAAATCAAAACCACAATGAGATACCATCTCACACCAGTTAGAATGGCAATCATTCAAAAGTCAGGAAACAACAGGTGCTGGAGAGGATGTGGAGAAATAGGAACACTTTTACACTGTTGGTGGGACTGTAAACTAGTTCAACCATTGTGGAAGTCAGTGTGGCGATTCCTCAGGGATCTAGAACTAGAAATACCATTTGACCCAGCCATCCCATTACTGGGTATATACCCAAAGGACTATAAATCATGCTGCTATAAAGACACATGCACACGTATGTTTATTGTGGCACTATTCACAATAGCAAAGACTTGGAACCAACCCAAATGTCCAACAATGATAGACTGGATTAAGAAAATGTGGCACATATACACCATGGAATACTATGCAGCCATAAAAAATGATGAGTTCATGTCCTTTGTAGGGACATGGATGAAATTGGAAATCATCATTCTCAGTAAACTATCACAAGAACAAAAAACCAAACACCGCATATTCTCACTCATAGGTGGGAACTGAACAATGAGAACACATGGACACAGGAAGGGGAACATCACACTCTGGGGACTGTTGTGGGGTGGGGGGAGGGGGGAGGGATAGCATTGGGAGATATACCTAATGCTAGATGATGAGTTAGTGGGTGCAGCGCACCAGCATGGCACATGTATACATATGTAACTAACCTGCACATTGTGCACATGTACCCTAAAACTTAAAGTATAAAAAAAAAAAAAAAGTTTGCAAAAAAAAAAAAAAGAATGATACAATGGACTTTGGGGTCTCGGGAGGGGGATGAGGGATAACAGACTACAAATAGGGTGCAGTGCATACTTCGCGGGTGATTGGTGCACCAAAATTGCACAAATCACCGCTAAAAAACTTACTCATGTAACCAAATACCACCTGTATTCCAACAACTTAAGAAAAAATAAAAAATAAATTAGAAAAACAAAATAGGAATCAATCTCAACATGGAAATGGGTTGCGCTAAAGATTGCATTTTGTCCTCTTCGTTTTTGAAGATAATTTCCTATGCACATTTCTGGTATCAATGTCAACTCTGCTACTTGCTACCTGTATAACACAGTCATGACATTAGTTTGTGCAAGTCTCACTTTCTTCAGCTGTGAAATGGAGATAATAATAGGTTCTAGCTGGGCAAGGTGGTTCACACCTGAAATCCCAGAAATTTGGGAGACTGAGATGAGAGGATCGCTTGAGCTCAGGAGTTTGAGACCAGCTTGGGCAACATACCGAAACCCTATCTTTATTATAAATAAATAATAGGTCTTCCTCATATGACCACTGTGATGGAGAAATCGCATTACAATGGAGCATTTGTGAAGCATGTGATGAATGTTAACTCTGACAATCATGAATCTTATTACTATGGCAGACTGTCTTTTCCAAAAATGGCCACAATATGCTCTTCTTAAAATTTGGAGTGTTTGTTTGTTTGTATGTTCTTTTTTTTTTTTTCCCTCTCCCTTTGCAACGAAGCAGGCTTTTGTGACTGTCCTAATGGATAGGATATGTCACAAGTTAGGATGTGGGACTATCAACTGTAGCATAGAAACGACTCTACAACTCTGCCTGATCATCGTGGGACTCTCAGGCTTTGAATCCAGCCATGATGCTCTGAGGAAGTCAAGTAGCCACATGGAGAGACCCAGCTAAGGTTGCAGTGGATGGCCAGCATCATCCCCAGGCATGTGTAAACAAGCCTTCAGGTGACTCCATCCCATACTTACCTATGGGACTAATGCTGAGTGCAGGGAGAAGAGCACGCCCCTCCTAGCCCAGCCCACATGGATTATCCACAAGGAAAATCAATGCTGTTTTAAGCCACTGAGTTTGGAATGATTTTTGACATAGTAATAATGCTAAAATAAAAGGTTTGTAATATATAGGAATCCTATTAATGTTTGTGCTATTATTTTTTTCTAATTAACTAACCTCAAGCAGCCCCTCTCCCCAAACCTAAGATAGAAAAACTAAAAGGTGAAAAGAAATCTTGATTCTTAGCAATACATGAATTTTGCATAAAATATATTACCGTGTGAAGCAATATTTCTTTAACAATAATATATTGAGAGGCAGAAGTTTCTATTTCTGCTAATTTGCATAGGTGTAGGTATATCTGTACCTATATATTTATATCAATACCTATATACAGATCTATATTGATAGATAAATACATAATTATTTTCTTACTTCAGTTTTACCCTTTTGTTCTATAATCAGGATAAAATAGTGATAACTTTTAAATGATTGAATTAAAGTACATTCCTGTATTTAATAGTAGTTTAACAACTTAGGCAGCATAAATATGTTCTCTTATAACAAGCAAAAAAAATGCTGAGTACATCTAAATCAATAAAATGGTTTCCTTTTTTTAAAGACTGTAAAAAATACAAAGGGAGCTCAAGAATAGATTCAGAAAATAAACGATTGAAATTATAATATACGTGTTACTTGTATCTTTAAAAAATGCTATTTTAAAAAATGTAAAGATTTCCCTAAGCAAGAGAGATTCTCAATTTACTTTGAAATGACTGTTCTTAGTTTGCTTGATGCTACTTTTTAATCTTTGTCAGTTAAAGGGCAACATAATATCCTTCAGGATGAACCAGAGAAGAGTACAAAGATCAGCTCAGAACCAACATATCTTCTTTCTGAGTAGTTTGACCCAGTGAATATTTCTTTTAGAATGTCTTATATTTCAAATGGTAGCACTGCCTTCTCCTTCTTTACAGAAATAATATTTTAGAAATACTCGCTTTGATCAAGTTATGGATACTTGCTAGCTATATCTGTTATGGAAAATCACTAGACAAAGTTAACTCATCACTTTTTTATCGTGGTGTATATAAAACATGAATATCTTTTCTAAAACTGACTTTCCTTGGTCGAAAGATGTCTGCATCAATAGGAAGGTAGACACACAAATCTCTAACTCTGAAATTTTATAGTGTGTAAGCCCATGATTTTTCTGTCCAGATAGAAAGAATAAAATTTAGAATGAACATCTTCCTTTCACCAAAGCATGGCACATTTGCATCTTTTAAAACAGGTAGTTCTCTAAGTTCTTTGTAAACGCTCACTGACAGTATTCAGATCACCCAGGAATCCACCTAAGAACCTACAGCAGGGCTGGAAGCACTGGGTGTTCCAATCACTGTCTGGAGAACCTCTCATTTGTATGCCTACCGATAGTGACCTCATATTCTCACTTTTCAACTATTTTTGACTATTTTTATTTATTTATTTATTTTTATTTATTTTTTGAGACAGAGCCTTGCTCTGTCACCCAGGCTGGAGTGCAATGGCAAAATCTCAGCTCACTGCAACCTCCACCTCCCGGGTTCAAAGGATTCTCACGCCTCAGCCTCCCAAGTAGCTGGAATTACAGGCATGTGCCACCACGTCCAGCTAATTTTTTTTTGTATTTTTAGTAGAAATGGGGTTTCACCATGTTGGTCAGGCTGGTCTCGAAATACTGACCTCAAATGATCCGCCCGCCTTGGCCTCCCAAAGTGCTGGGATGACAGGCGTGAGCCACTGAGCCCGGCCCTGTTTTCTTTTTATAGTCTCAGATTAGGTGATTTATCGGCTGAACTATGTCATATTCAAATGTCATTTCATATCCAACACTCACTCACTTGGACACAGATTGGGAGGAGAAAAGTTTATTCTTCTCTGAGATTACAGGGAAAAGTGACCATTTTCTTCACGGGAAAACATAAATTCCCAGAAGTTTTTGTTTGTTTGTTTTTTGTTTTGTTTTGTTTTTTGTTTGGTTTTTTTTTTTTTTTTTTGAAAAAGTGTCTCGCTGTGTCACTCAGGTGGGAGTGCACTGGCGCAATCTGCGCTCACTGTAACCTCCACCTCCCAGGTTCAAGTGATCCCATCACTTCAGCCTCCTGAGTAGCTGGGATTACAGGCATGTAACACCACACCCAGTTAATTTTTGTATTTTTGTAGAGACAGGGTTTTACCATGTTGGCCAGGCTGGTCTTGAACTCACGACATCAGGCATGAGCCACCACGCCCGGCCTTATTTTTAAGAATAAAGCCTAAGGTCATTACTGAGACTATCCCTTCCAAATATCATTGCCATTGTGCCTTACTTCCTGTAAAAAATAGAAATAAAATTCAAGTGGATAGAGATTTTGGATTTCGAGTTACTCGAGTCAAGGTTCCATGGGCCAATTGCAGAGGCTCTGTGGGTCTAAGTTAAAAAAAAAAAAAAAAACATAAAACAAAAAGACTCCAAAGTTCTTCAGCTTTTCCAAGTGCTCAGGTCACTCATGGTCACTGATGCTCAACAAGGTGTCCTTTCTGATTCACCATTCTTTCTAAGGTCCAAAAAAGGTCCTTGAGTTATTTGCAGGATCTTACTCTCTCAATCCTTTGCTTTCTTGTTCAAGCCAGCAAATTTACCCGTTTCCTGCAACCTGCTGTTCACCAAATTCAAAGCCTGTCTTCATACTACTACCGTATCAGTTATCTGAAATGATTCCTGAACTCATTTTCCAATTAGCTCTAGCAATTAAGTCTCAAGGTCTCTGAGATCAGAGATCTATAGACCCAAAGGAAATACTTCTGAGTGAATATCTTTGCAAAGAGATTAGGAGGAAAAAAGACTTGAATATAAAAACTTTTAGGCCCATAAGTGAAAATACCAACAATCTTCTTGTAAGATTTCAGCTATCTGGGCCGGGCGCGGCGGCTCACGCCTGTCATCCCAGCACTTTGGGAGGCCGAGGTGGGCGGATCACAAGGTCAGGAGATCGAGACCATCCTGGCTAACACGGTGAAACCCTGTCTCCACTAAAAAAATACAAAAACATTAGCCGGGCGTGGTGGCAGGCGCCTGTAGTCCCAGATACTCGGGAGGCTGAGGCAGGAGAATGGCGTGAACCGGGAGGCAGAGCTTGCAGCGAGCTGAGATTGCGCCACTGCACTCCAGCCTGGGTGACAAAGCGAGACTCTGTCTCAAAAAAAAAAAAAAAAGATTTCAGCTATCTGAAATAGTAATAGTGTGCATTTTTTACTTCTTGTAATGCTTTCTTTTAACTTCAGGGGAACATGTGCAGGATGGGCAAGTTTGTTACATAGGTAAATGTATGGTATACAGATTATTTCATCACCCAGGTATTAAGCCTCGTATCCATTAGTTATCTTTCCTGATCCTCTCCCTCCATCCTCCTCCCTCTGGTAGGCCCCAGTGTGTGCTGTGCCCCTCTATGTGCCCATGTGTTCTCATCATTTAGCTCCCACTTGTGAAAGAGGACATGCGGTTTTTGGTTTTCTGTTCCTGAGTTAGTTTGCTAAGGATAATGGCCTCCAGCTCTCTCTATGTCCCTGCAAAGGACATAATCTCATTCCTCTTTATGGCTACATAGTATTCCACAGTGTATATGTACCACATTTTCTTTATGCAGTCTATCATTGATGGGCATTTAGGTTGATTCCATGTCTTTGCTATTGTGAATAGTGCTGCAATTAACATACACGTGCATGTATCTTTATAATAGAATTATTGATATTCCTTTGGGTATATACTCAGTAATGGGATTGCTGGGTTTAATGGTAGTTCTGCCTTTAGCTCTTTGAGAAATCACCACACTGTCTTCCATAATGGTTGAACTAATGTATACTCCCACCAACAGTGTAAAAGTATTTATTTTCTCCCACAAGCTTGTCAGCATCTGTTATTTTTTGACTTTTTAATCGTAACCATTCTGAATGGTGTGAGATGGTATCTCATTTGTGTTTCTCTAATGACCAGTGATGTTGAGCTTTTTTTTTTTTTTTCATGATTTTTGGCCCCATGTATGTCTTTTGAGAAGTATCTCTTTATGTCCTTTGCCACTTTTTAGCGGGGTTGTTTGTTTTCTTCTTGTACATTTGTTTAAGTTCCTTATAGATGCTGGATATTAGACCTTTGTCAGATGCATGGATTGCAAAAATTTTCCTCCCATTTTGTAGGTTGTCTGTTTACTCTGTTGATAGTTTCTTTTGCTGTGTAGAAGCTCTTTAGTTTAATTAGATTCCATTTGTCAATTCTATTTTAAATTCCAAGGCACACTGGTGTTCCTTCAGGGCTACACAAAATTATTTGTTCTCGTCTTGAAATTATCTGATTTATCAACTTTCTCGCTGGATGCCCATAACTACTGTGGACCAAAGTAAATACGCAAAGTCATTAAATTCCTGATTTCTTCCTGATACTGCATCACGGTGTCTCCTTGCTGATGGAGAGTAGCAGTTTGTTCAGTCCAAGATTCTATTGCACTCACATAATCTCATCAACTTTCAAGGTGACCTTTAGCATCAACAAGTATTTCTCAATTGTGTAGCTCATTTCCTAATCAGTGGTAGCCCTTGAGTCTCCAAGTCTCTGCTAGCAGAGATCTGTAGCCCCACAATAAATGGTTCTATGTGTCTGGACATTTCCCCAATCAATAAAGAAAGAAAAGAAAAACCTAAATGTGTAAATTTTTAGGCACATAGTTACATTTACTCATTTAGTTAAACCTATTCTATCACTGTATTATATACAAAGTTAGAAGTGTTGCTTTTACTCATTCTCATATTTCCTAAAGCAATTTACTTAAACACATCATATGTACATCATATGTATGCTTGACATCAATATACTTTTCAGTCTCGAAACACCTGTCTAATGCAGTTTTCCAGAGCACATGTGTTAAGTTGCCTGAGATAGAGTGCAAGCTATATTGATGTTTTGTTTTGCCTGGAAATTGTATCTCAGACCACCAGTGCCTATTTGCTTAACCTCAGGATATTTATTTTTTTCCTTGTTCAATGAGTATACATGATCACAACAAAACAACTTCAATATTGTTCTATTAGAGTTCTTTGAATGCCTTATAAAGTTTAATGCTCGCAGTTTTAAATTCATAGCCCTAAAAATAGCTACTAAATCTTTGTTAAATATTATTATTGCTATTGTTTGTTTTCCTTCTCCTCCTTTTCATCTTGGCCTTTTCATTTTCTTATTTTCTTCTCAATCATTGTCTTTTTTTTCTCTTCCATCCTCTTCCTTTCCTATTTCTCTTAATAAATGGTGTTGGGTGGTTCTGGCTCAAGGAAGCTTCTGAGGTTGCCGTTAAGATGTCAGCCAGGGCTGTAGTCCTCTCAAAATCACCTAAAACTTGCTCATGTGATAGTTGCAGTCTTGAGGCATTTGCCATTTCAACCCCTCAACAGAGCTATCTTATGACAGCTGCTTTCCTCCAGAAAAAAAATAAGAAGCGACACCCCCAATGAAAGCCACAGGTTTTTTGGTCTTCTTTTTATAACCTAATCTCAGAGCAGATACCTCTGAGATTTGGCCTATTCTGTTCATTGGAAGAGAGTTCTTCAATTCAGCTCATGTTAAAGGAAAAGGGATTCCACAGGGAGTAGACACCCTGAGGCAGGGGTCAGTGATCACCATCTTACAGGCTGCCATGGTCACCATGTGCAAACTTAGGGAAAGCTGGGAGAGCAGCAAGCCAAAATAACCAAGTATTTGCATCAAAAACCAAAAATTAATCCCTTGAAGTAATTTCAGTAGTTGAAGCTAGAAACAGATAAAGGCACAGTTGAGACTAAGTAAACCTTTCATTTCTACCAAAATGATGAGTTGACTCAAAGAATATCCTTGTGTATTTGTTATAGTTGTAGGAATGTCACAAAGGTGTTTAAAATATCCAAATATTCTCCATTGCCAAAGTTATATGACTGAAATTAAGTTACCTGTAGATTTTGTTTTAGTTTTTCTAGTAAATTTTGTTATTGTTAATGTTGCCGTCAGCTGTATTTTGACCAATACCATAGGGTGTTGTGGTAGACGTAGTTCTCACTGTTTCTGGGGTATGTTTCTGCACTCAGTATAATACTGAGCCAACAGGGAAGACCTGCATGACCTGTGGGGCCTGATCCATTGCGGAAGGTAAGATTGTAGACAGCTTCTGTCTCTGTTTTTGGTAGAGACTTTGCTATGCTAACTAATAATCTGAGTTATAATATTCCAATGAGAACACAAGAGCTCTTAGTACATAACAGAGTCTGCTTGATTTCCTTGAGTTTCCCCAGCTTCTTGTCCTGTGGTTAGCCCCACCCGAGAAATCTGAGGGTAGCTCTCACATTCTGAGCCAGACTCCATTCCAGGCAGGGAAAAGCAGCCCATGTTGGAGAGCAGGGCAAGTCAGATCTTGTGAAGCCAAATGCAGGGAGGTAAGAGAGGTGGAGAAAAAGACATGGACACCCTAGCACAATAGACACGTGGCCAGCCAGCCTCTAGTCCACTGGTTTCCAAGCTCTGAGACCAGGCAGGACATGTAACACCAGCCATCCCTCCTCCTAACCCTGTGTTCAACTCCCAAGTGCCTGCAGTCACAGAGCAAGGAGCAGTGGCTTGTGAGGTTCCATTTCCACATACAACTCTGTGAGCTAGAAACAGAAAGAGCAAGGTGCAGAGAGAATGCATTGATATCCACGTGGGACGGGCAAGAGAGGTTTCCATCCCAACTTCTGTCCTCCGGAATGACGTAACAATGACCTTTGGTGTTTTTTTGCTCAGTCATTGCCAATTTCCCTGAATCAAAGTTTTGGAAAGAGGTCCATAAAGGCTTTTTACTTCTAAAATAGCTTGTGAAAGAACAGACTTTGCTGGGGGAATCAGTGACATGTCCAAGCTTACGATGATGCAAATGTAGTCATCTGAATTGAATCAGAGAGTCATCACCAAAGGAAATTGGCCCTTTTTGTGGTCAGGATCATATTTCTAATAATATCAGTTATGTTTTACCCATTTTCCGTGGAAACAGCACACAATAACAGATAGTCTATAGGAAGCTGTCCTGCAGTGACCTTCATGGCAGGGGAGTTTTTAAAGGCTGAGAGTAATTGTCCAAAGCAGTACAACAGATTTGGAGGAGACCTGGTGAAAGAGCCCAAGTCTTAAGGATGCTAGAACACTCAAATCAATTCTCTCTGCTGCAAGCAAATGTAACCGGATTGCTGCAGGGGTTCGACTATGATTTTCCAGAGTCTTAGCATCCTGGATGCTACAAGCAAAGTGAGGACAAACATGCAACTGACACAGCAGGGGAGGTGAGAAGGGGGCTTCATTCCATATTGTTTTTATATAACTCAATCCTTAGGTTCTCTTTATACACACCAAGCATATTTTAAACTTTCCCTGGCTTACTTTCCAGTTAAAGTCATTGTTAGTTTTAGAGTAATCTCATTGGAAAATCAAAGATCTAGAGTCATCACCAACTATTCTGGGTCATTCACTAGTAAAATTCTAACTCTTTTAAAACAAATTTGTCAGAAATTCTTTATTATGTTGGTTGTACTAAATAAAATTCACTATGAGTAAAATCTCCTCAACTTTCTCTGTAGGTGCTTCATTCACTCACTAATTCATCCATGCATCCATCCATCCATGCATCCATCCATCCATCCATCCATCCATCCATCCATCTATACTTACACAAATCCATCCATCCATCCATCCACCCACCCACCCACCCATTCATTCAACCATTCTTCTATCCACCCATCCATCCACGTACCCACCCATCTATCCATCCATCCACCTACCCACCTATCCATCCATCCTTCTATCCATGCATGTATCCACCCATCAATCCACGTACCCACCCACCCATCCACGCCCCATCCACCTACCTACCTACCTATCCATCCATCCATCCACCCATCCATCCACCCTTTCATTTATTCATTCACAAGCACCTACCATGTGCCGGGCTTTGGTCTAAGACCTGGGGATCCCATGGTGAATGTGAGTCACTTCCCTGCCCTCATCATGGTCACATGCAATGAAGGATTCAGACAATATGCAAGAAAACAAATAAACAAACACAATTTTTAGGTTATGATAAAATGCTATGAAGATAATAAATGGGTAATTTGATGAAGGGAGACTGGAATGGGAGTGACGGAGCCACCTGAGACAGCGAGTCAGGGAAGGCTCCCCAGATGAAGACATGGGGGTGCTGTCCTCTAAGCAGGGAAGGTGCAAAGCAGACAGGCCAAGAACAGGAGCTGCAGGCACAGGATCCAGCAAGGGAAAGTCCTGAGGCAAGAATAAGCTTGGTTAGTTTCAGAAACAAAATGGACATGGGTAGATGGTATGTGTATTTGCTGCCTGAACACATTTCAAAAAGTTTATAGGTCAGGTTTGAAGCATTTAAATTAAAAAATAATCAATGAATATACACAGCATTTGAAGATGTTTTTGTGTGTGTTATTTTTATTTCTAGTTAAGTTTTATCTGATCAATGTAAGGAATGCACGAAGATTCACTGATGCCACAGGGAGATCAATTTACATCACAAAAGCAGTTAGACATTGCTACATCTGTTATTTTGCCAGGAATTCCCCCAAGTACAACTTTTGCTAGACGGTCTTTCCTGAAACCATCTGAAATCATGAGTCAGTATGTGCCAGCTGTATTTAAGACCAAAGGCTTAATGTATCCACATCTGGGGTAGGAGTCAGATGTAAAACAAGCCCAACATTGCCTTGGAAGTTCTATAGGGTAAGTAAATGCTAACATTCACTTTCTTGCCTCAGTGGCTGTGGCTCTCACCTCTACTACTATAACTAGAAGCTTAATATTCACTTTCATTCTTTGAAAAGGTGACAGTGTTTCTTCCAGTCCAATAATGGAACTTTCCACTAGGTTGGTAACACAATTCAATTTTTAAGCCAAGCTCAGCCTGGTTTTGTCTTAACAATTGGGTTATTTAGCTTGACTCCTACAGAAAAACAAGCTCTTTCATGATGGGATGTGCAGCTGTGAATAGTACAACATGGATGAATGTAATTATGGGATTTGTTAAGTTTGGTGAAAAGAAAGTGGATTGGAAGGCTGCCATGCTTATCTATGGAACGAAAAAAATGAAACATGTACAAATGATATATTAGAGGTTTAAAAAAGGCTCAGACATGCAAGGAAATTTGAACATTGACTAGATATTTGAGGATATTTATATTTTTAATTCTATTTATGAATGATTACAGTATTACAGTCATATTTTAAGAGTTCTTATGTTTTTAACACGCATAAAAATATTTACGTATTCTATGAAAAAACCTCTCAGTAGGGCTTTTTTAACCTTTGCAAAATCTTCCGATCATGTTTTGTTCCCAAATTTTGTTCTGTTCGTATTGTTTGTTGTTGTCATTGTTGGTAATACACTGACCTAACCACCAAGATATTTGGAATTCAACTCAGAATTTCCACAATCATAGATAGAGGTCATATTCATTATGCTTTATTCCTAAACAATTGAAAATTTCTCCTTCAAGAATTTGCTAGTATTTTGACATTTAACCAAGAGTTTTCTTCTGAATCTACAGCAATGGACTCTTTCGTGGCTAGATTTGAATCCCACGTACAACAGAAGCTTCCAAATGCGTTGTTTGGCCACAATGAAGAATCCTTATTGAAATATCCCTTGAATGGCATAATTGAATAGACGTAATTGCAAAGCTCTGCACCATGTAAAATTGTAAATAGCACTGACAAAATAATTTATGCTCATTTATGATACAGTAGCTCATTATGGCTCCAATTTTCATTTCCTTCATTAGCCAAGCTCATCTGTTTCTCTAGTAGACATTCCTTTTGTCTATTATCTACAATCCTTTTCCCAGAGAAATGGACTCTTGTGTATGTAGATGAGAAGAACTGAGCATGAGAGGGTGCTGATAACAGGGGATATGGGCACCGCATAACCTAAACAGACTTTGACACCACAACAAAAGAGAGACAGATACTGTAGAACAATGACAGGTAAATATTGTATTAGAATAGTGCCTATTTCTGCTTTGGTTTCAGGAATGTCTTATAATAAATGAATAAAGTGGGTCACCACTACAATTACAGCAATAATGATAATGAGTTCAATAATAACATGAAAGAACAAGAAGCTTGCAATCAAGTCCCATATTCCTTGTGGGTGTGTTTAAGGAAACCTCGTGTCATATATTTGTTTTACTTTAATTACTTCCCTCATCTTCTAGTTTATTACTTCTCTCCACCTTGTGTCAGGTTAGAAACCATCACTTCCCTATGTCTCCCATCCTTAGCTGCAATATTCCTTCTTTATCTTGAGCAGCAGGAGATCTCTTTTCTTTCTTTCCACTTGTTCCAGCTGGAGACCATGACATAGAAGCCTCTCACTTTCTGGGATTGTTGAAATAAAACTGAACCCCTTCCCCACTTTACTTGTTCAACCCAGAGGAAGGTTGAAGAACTGTGGAGATGGAGGATGCTTACAGTATTTATTCTCCTTTTTCTAACTAGCAAGGTTAATATGTGAACATTGTGGTCATGTGTGACTTACTTGTAAGGTTCCTGGATTCTCTGTGTTTGACAAGGTGAGAGGTGGCCCTAGTCCTCTATACGAATGGGCCCAAAGAAAAACTGTACTTACAGAGTCCAATGTAGAGGATAATTTTACTAAAGGCCCAACCATGTCTACCAAACCAGCAATAGGAGCAATGAAATTGCTATGTTTGTCATATTTTTATATAAATATGCCTCTTTTTATTTCAATTGGTTCCAAACTCAGAGAGGAATGAGGTAGGGTTAACTGTTGCCCTCCTAAAACCCAAAAATGAACAGTAACATTATATTAAAAGGGTGGGTTGTTGGCTAAATCAGGTTTTTAAAAGTATATTAAGACAGAGAACCTCATTAAGGTTTGTGGTGTCGTGTTAATGGCACAGATATGTTTTGCTCATCCTCATATTTAAAACATGCAATATTTAGTTGGTGGGTCTCAATGTTTTGTCTGAAAATTTTATTAGTTAAGAATAGTGTTCATTTGAATTAGAGGCTAAAATTAGCTGCTTATATGAGAGAGAAGTTTGTTTCTCTCTCATGAAAACATCTTAAGAAAGAGGTCTGAAGCTGGAATAGTGGTTTGGACCTAAAGGTCGTCAGGAACCCAGGCTTCTTCCAGATTGTTGCTCTGCTTCTGACCTCCATTCCTCTTCATCTCATTAGCAAGATGGCAGTAACAGCTACAGACACCACCTCTACATTAAAGTATATAGGAGAAGACAAATAAAAAACTAGGTTGTAGTCCATAGGAGGAGCATGTCCTTGCTATGCCTTGGAAGCTGTCATGTGACACTTCTAGTTTCATCTAGAATTTAGTTAGTCACCTGACATTCCCTTGACCCAATGTGTACTGGGTAATGTACGCTTTATTCTGGACAGCTACCTATGAAGTCAAAAAAAACACAAATTCTATTCTTATGGGGGAAATGCATAGGGAGAAAACGAGTAGTCTCTTCCATAGGAAATACAGTTGCCTTTAAATGGTGAAGACTAACATTTAATATACCTGCAATTCTGAGCTCAGGTCAAGGTGCACTATATTGTCTGTGGCAGTGTAGGTGCATGACGGGACATTTTCAGCATCACAGCCAACTGTATGGTTGTTCAGATGGTAACAAAGACATTGAATAGAAGCAAATGCACCTAAACTTCAGCAGCAAAACTTCTAAGCACCCTGCAGAGCCTCAGTTCCCTTCTTTCTAAAACCAGCATAATATTATGTAACATTGTGATTATAATATTTGTCATGCCTACTTTCAAAGGTGTTATAAGAATCAAATGGCCAGGCGCAGTGGCTCACTCCTATAATCCCAGCACTTTGGGAAGCCAAGGCAGGCGGACCACCTGAGGTCAGGAGTTCGAGACCAGTCTGGCCAATATGGTAAAACCCAGTCTCTACTAAAAATACAAAAATTAGCCAGCTGTGGTGGTGGGCACCTGTAATCCCAGCTACTCAGGAGGCTGAGACAGGAGAATCGCTTGAACCTGGTATGCAGAGGTTGCAGTGAGTGGAGATCGCGCCATTGCACTCCAGCCTGGGTGACAGAGCAAGACTCCATCTTGAAAACAAAACAAATGAGAGAACATTTAGAAAGCAGATAGCAGGTATAAAAATGAAAACCTGTATGATTTTACTTTACCTGTCATACTAGGAGTCCCCAGTCCACTGGGTATTTGAGACTCACGTAACATAATACATCCTAAGTACTTAGAACAGGGGCTGGGAAAGAGGAGGCACTCATTGTATGGGACTCATCTTTAGGAGGTTAAATAGAACTTTTCACCTGTAAATTAATTGTTAGTTGATATAAAGTTGGTATCTTTTGGATAAAATAAAGAATATACATGCCTAGGATTATAAGATGTGGGGGAATTGAGATAAAATTTAAATCCACTGATTCCAATCATGTCCTCCATAAATTTTCCCCATTCTTCCACATAGTGTATTACCAGGACCCCTGCCTCCCTACCTGATGGACATTTGCTTGGTTGATATCCTGGGATGAGTTCATCATTTCTACCTCACACCATATTATCTCTGACAGAAACCATTAAAGAGAAAGCCTCTTTGTTTTACATTGAACAACCTGAAGAGCCATTTTAAAGTAAAAGCAAATAATGACATTTTTATAACCAGAGTACATTTATTTGCCTTTTCCATCTTGTCAAATGCAGTGTCCCTATTCACGGATGTTTATTGTTTAGACTCAGGTAGATTAGATTTCCACCTCATTTTCCCTCTTCCTAAAGCCATGGGTGCTGATACCTGCTCAAGAAGTTAACAACAATAACAAAGTATAGCTCAGTTTGTGCAAAATTAGAGACAATGGAATGCTGAGTTCTTGTAGAATCAAAGTTGAGAAAAAATTCTGGAGCAAAAAATAATGTATCGTTTAAGTGGATCCTTTCCAGTGTCATGGAGGAAACATCATTTTATTTCTCATTTAAATAGATCATAATATTGACCATCTCATGGGGGTTTTGTGAAGATTCTATGAAATAGTATTGGCACACAGTTACTGTTGAGTAAATGTTGAATATTACTATGAGAAACAATGGGCTGCAGTGAAGGTTCTCAGATGTCCTTGGATGGAGGAATTTGATGACAGTTTTCCCGGCAGTCAGGGGACTCAGAGAGTAAGCAGCCTCCCACCTGGACCGTGGTCTTAGGAAGCTTCACCCTAGGCTCATGTCGGGGGTGCAGGTAGGAAGAGAGGCTCTAAAGGGGCTGGGTTATCTTTGCCAAATGGGAGTGTATTTCCTGTATTCACAAATCTTCTAACGTTTCACAGAAAGCCAGATATTGCTATTTTTTGTAAAACATTTTATTTTTACATGTTGGATATTAATTTTAAATTTTTAAACATTCTGCAAGGCAAACACAATGTGATTGCAAACAGCATTGGGCCAGATAACCACCAGTTCACCGCCTTTGCTCTGACAGAATACAGTCTGTTCCCAGGGATACTGTTTCATGGGAGAATCTCAAAGCAAATGAATGTAAAAAACATTGCTTATGTTTTGTCAGCATATGTAAAATGGAATCTTGGTGGAATAAATGGAATTTGGAGAATGCATGAGAGTATCCCTATAGGGTTGACCAGCATAAAGTTTAGAGAGGGTTAGCCTCAGTTATATTCTGGCTTCTATTGTTATATCCAGTTACTGAATTTACCTCTCTACATTCAGTATTTTGTCTGTGAAACAGGGATGATAATGCTCCCCGCGCACACATGCATGCAATCACCTACACACATCAGGCTTTTGTGAGGATCTCGTCAATGAGGCAGGTTAAATCTTTAGATCATGAGCCAAACTCAGTGAGCTCCTAGAAATGGCAGCTGCTTCCTAGCTGCCAATACCCTTCATTCAGCTCAAGAAAAACAGCCTTTATTTAACTGAGACTGGCTTGTGAGCAAGACTAGTCTTCGGAGCCCATAAACTTGTATTTGCTCAGATTTGGGGTTTCCTTAAAGTCCAGTGGAACACAGGTCCAACTGGCACTGGTTTTTATGTATTCATGATGTGCACTCCTTAGTAATTCCCTGGAAGGGACATATGTGTTATGTGGGTTTTCAAGCTATACTTACTTGCAAGTTAAAACTGCAGAGAACTTGATAGTTTCAGGACTGGTGGGAACTGGCTCATTTAAGAAAATCTATGGTGAGAGAGATCTCCTTCTGTCTGTTTCCCTGACACTACAGCCTTGCATCTATTACTTATTTTTCTATTTATTATACTCATTGGCACAACGATGCAGCCACACCAGGGGGAGAACATGCTAGTGGGAATTAGAGTGGGGTTAGCTTTCCCCCACCCTATGCTTTTCCAATCCCTGGATAACATTTTCCCCCTTTTCCACTGTAAATGCTTACTTCAGATATTATTTTGATGTACTTTCCCCAAAAAAACCCTTTCGTAGGCGTAGCTATGGAATCTTAGATTCATGGGCTGGAAATTGATATAGAAATTTTGTCGTTGGTTCTCTGGGGAAATAGCTCATGCTGTTACTCCTGAATCCTAAGTAGCTGCCTTATCACTTGGCTTGGAATGCTAAGAGAAAGAGCTTGCAAAGAGCCATTTCAACGAATGAGTTTCCTCCTCATTCTTTATAGATGAGGGAGGGAAGCCTTCCCAAAGTGGGTTGCATTTTTCCCAATGCATAATGAATTAGCAATTGAAATTTAAGAGAACGTACATCTTTTCTAAAGTACTAAAACCTTTTATTGTCATGAAAGTAAATTTTATCATAGAAACACTTAAAGACACAGTAAAAGCAGAAGGTAGGAAGACGACTCAACTAAATCTATTGACAGTGAACGTTAGTCCATTTCCTTAATTTCCCCCTGTACATTTTAATTCTGTCCTATTCATGTCGGCATATAGTTTTGAATTCTGCTCCTTTTGCTCAGTATTAAGTATAAACTTTTTCTGTGTTATTATTCCATATTCTTTATAAACACATTCATGATGCCCCAAATATTTCATATGTAGACTTGCCATAATTAAGCAGTGTCTTAGTTTGGCATCTTGGGATGGTTTCTGATCATTACTATTACACATAGCAGTAATAGTAATAACCAACATTATTGAGCATTTGCCTATGTCAGCCATTGTGTTCAGGGTTTCATGTACATTATTGCATGGGTTTCTCAACAGCGGCTGAGACCATTTCTATTGTCATCCCCATGGGCAAATGAGGTCACCGAGGCCTAAATAATGTATTTAATGAGCCCAAGGGCCAATGGCTCACACGTGTTAGAGGCAGGATTGGGTGGTTGGAGTTTTCCATTTTTTCTGTGTTTGGATTCATGACCAGAATAACAATGTGGAGCCCTGCCTAGATTTAGGCGCATGACAAAGTGGGTGGAGCATTCAAAGTGCAGCTGGATTTCCAGAGACTGACCTTCTCTATTGCCTGAATGAACCAACCGAAGTGATGTTCTTAATGGAACAGGTGCTTCCTTGGATCAGTTGGTTTTTTCCTCCTTGTTACTTCGGCAGTTCCTGTTTCTGTCAGATAGTTGGGGGTCTCATTTTAGGAACCAGAGGAATGTTCAATTTCTATTTCTTTTGGGGAGGCTTGGGGGTAGAGTGGCATTAGGTAGAGTTTGGGGTTGCCTCTGAAACGTCTCAGAGGACTGACTACACTTCCACACTGACTGACTGAATACTCTTCCACAGAGAGATCAATAGAGGCTACACCAGCCCAGAAGTCCTGAGATTGAGGGTTTAGTCTGACCTCCACCTTGTGGTAGCTGTGGGAATGTGGGATGTCCATTGGTACTCACCTCAATTTCCTCATCTCTTAATTAAGGAGGGCAGTGTTTTCTCCTCCTATGTCCTAGGAAGAGAATATTTTGAGAACCAGTGGGAGAATTATGATGTCCTGTTTGTTTCTTCCTCTCTGGGTTCCATTTCTTCTTCTGATAAGAGCCCTCAGCTTTCCTCTGAAGATGAACTCCTTCCTCACTCACAGTCTATGTCCTTCCAGTGGGCTGAGTCAACTCTGTGGCTCTCTGCCCATGACCTTTCTGAAGCCAAGGAAAAATACACACCCTCAATAATGGCTTCAGATATGTATCTGTGATCCAGGCCAGACCTCTCAGAGCAATGTTTGAGGATGAGGTAATCATAAAGCAATCCAAAATTGAGTACACTTCCCAGCCTGTTCCATGGAGCTTGTTCCATTTATAGGCCATCAGTCCCTCATATCTCTGTCATGGTGTACACAGCTCTGGCTGCCTGGGTTGCCACTTTTCATCTTCATCCCTGCGTAATAATCTGTGTTGACTACAGGCACATGTGTTGCGTTTACCTGCTCAGCGTCCATCCTCCCCTCCACCCCAACCCTGTCTGATGTACTAACTTCCTGGGGCTGTCAATCAAAATGCCCAATGCTCTCTTGGCTGAGGGGTAGGGAGAAATCTGGGCCATGCACATGCTCTCCTCAGAAATGTAAATCTTGAGTCGGAAAGGCTGAAAACAGTTGGAGCTGCTTTACCCATTTGTTGCTGTGGCAACAAATACATCTTAGCTCCTATTCAGTTGCTGTTTCCCAAAGCCAGCTTTTTCTCTTTACCTTTGATGCTGTGATCAATATTATTTTTCTTTCAATAGGATTCTATTCTGGGCTAAGATAACCAAATTTGTTTCAAAGAAAAATTGCACACAACCTTTACCTTCTCTACATTCTTGATACTCTTTGCTTCTTTCCTTCTCATAGACCTTAGCTGTCCGTCTCTTTATCTCCTATTCCATTCTCTCCAGTCAGCTTTATGAGAAGAACCCAATAGTACATTGTTGTTGCTGTTTATTTGAAGATTCCTCTTTCAATAAGCTGGGATGTCTTTGAGCTTCTGACTGCCTGATAACCTTTAACACCCAGTGCTGATGTCTGCGCTGGACATGAGAAGGAACCAAATATTATTGAATGGGAGCTGTACTTTAATTAGTTGGTAAAGCAACAGGTGAAAACTAATTAGGGAGGTAAGTGAGCGAGAGCTGTCCCAGATCAGTTGCCCATGTGTTCTTTTTGTTTTCATTTTTTTGTTTTTGTTTTTTTGGTTTGTTTGTTTGGTTTTTGAGACAACATTTCACTCTGTCACCCAGGTTGGAGTGCAGTGGCACGATCTTGGCTCACTGCAACTTCTGCCTCCCAGGTTCAAGCAATTCTCCTGCCTCAGCCTCCCAAGTAGCTGGGATTGCAGGCGTGTGCCACCACACTCAGTTAATTTTGCATTTTTAGTGGAGACAGAGTTTCGCCATGTTGGCCAGGCTGGTCTCGAACTCCTGATCTTAAGTGATCTGCCCGCCTCGGCCTCCCAAAGTGCTGGGATTACAAGCGTGAGCCACCGCGCCCGACCTAATTGCCCGTATGTTCTTGATCCTATTCCAAACAACACTCCAATCAAAAGCCTAAGTCAAGTGAGTTGAGATGAAAACACACAGAACCACAAAAATCTGAATTATTATCTTAGATTCACTACTAATTTTCACTTTTATGTATATTGTTCTTTTTTTAAAAAAAAAGAAGATACAGAGGTGTGTGTACAGAAATTCTTGAAAAGGTAAATCAATTAACCTTTACCAGGAAGCTAGTACAAAAAGAAGGGGTGGTAAAACAACATCATTTGTAAAGATCAGACTTCTCGCTCCTGCCAAAAATATGCCTACGAATGCCAGGAGATAGACTACATTTACTCTACCTTGTAATCTACAGGTAACTTCTTAATGTAAAGCTAATTTTTTCTTGTCACCCTGTTATTCTTGCTTTCACATTTTTGGTTAATTGTGGGTTATGTGGGCTACACATAAAAAGAAACAAAATATATCTTTACTTACATTAGCCTTTTTAAATATGGAACTTTTCAAACATGCATGAATATAGAAAGAATGACATGACTAATCTCCCTGTACTCCTTGAAGATTTTCCACTATTAGGCTGGGCACAGTGGCTCACACCTCTAATCCCAGCACTTTGGGAGGCTGAGGCGAGCAGATCACCTGAGGTCAGAAGTTTCAGACCAGCCCGGCCAACATGGCGAAACCCTGTCTTTACTAAAATTACAAAAATTAGCCAGGCATGGTGGCACATGCCTGTATTCCCAGCTACTCAGAAGGCTGAGGCAGGAGAATCACTTGAACCCGGGAGGCGGAGGTTGTAGGGAGTTGAGGTCGGGTCACTGCACTCCAGACTGGGAGATAGAGCAAGACTCCATCTCAAAAAAAAAAAAAACAAAATTTTTCTTCCACAATTATCAATATTTTGTTTAATTTGTTTTATCTCCACTAATACTTCTCATTATTATCACCAACAAAGCAAGATTATTATTTTTTAAATGCCCAGACCTCCAGTAATTTTACGTGTAAATATGGTGGTATGTATTGCTAATAGAGACTCTTTTAAGTAACTAAGATACATGATCGTACATAATGCAATCATAGTCAGCAATATTCATTTCATAGTATTCAATACCAATCTATCTTCACACTTCCCTGCTACCTTAAAAATGTCTGCCTAGAGTTCATTTAAATTAAGGTCCACACAAAGCAAGATCCAGATATTTTCTTTGGTTGGTGTGTTCCATAAATCCTTTAAGTGTTTACAGTTTCTTGTATTTTTCCTCTTTATCCATGCCATTTATTTGTTTTCTTATAAAAATAATTTTCCAATAGAATTTCCCAGATTCTACATTGGGCTGTGTGCAGAAATGAGTTAGCATAGCAGGACGGAGACTACTCTCCATAGAAAGGTGTTCTTGCAAGTCGGCCCTTGGTTGATGTCTAGGAATTTGGATTTTGGAAATGTGCCTGCCATTCCATGGTAAGACTAGCTCACTATGCCTGGACCATTCAAACAATATGATTTATTCTGAACACCTGCTTTTCTTCCGGGAGTCTGGCATTTTGGTATGTGCCTGGCAGAAGATCTTTATGTGACCAGCTCCCAAAAAACCTTGGGTGCTGAGTCTCTAATGGGCTTCCTTGGGCAGAAACATGGCCTACCTGTTGCTACATTTTCATAGTTGGGGGAAGAATGGATTCTGAGACCCTCATAAGAGGGAGAGATCACTGGAAGCCGACATGGAGATTCCCGCAGACGCTGCCAGTGTCTTTGACCCCTGGGATCTAATGTGTATTCTTATCACTTCCCTGTTACAAATCTGAGTCATGAGCACAACTATATGCTAGCCCTATGAAACTTTCTAGGAAAACTCCAGATGGAGGGTGGTCCTGAGGGCCCTCAACAGAAGCCGATTATGTTATCATGGCATTTTTAACATATTCTTACATCCCCATGTTTTCTGTAAACTGGATTTTTTAAATATTGAGGCTCAATAGTATTAGGGGGAGGAGTAGATTAGAGGTGGGCTTGTACTTCTTTTATTGCATTATCTCAGGAGGCAGATAATAGCAAGTCATCTTCCCTCCAATTATGTTCTGATTGATCAGTAGATGGAAGCATAGAGTCATTTTGTCATGGTTTTAAAGAAGTCAAAATATGTGTAGATAGGTGTGTGGGAAGCTGGCTTACCACAGGTGAGGCTGGAGCAGTTATCGAGTTCTTGACTTTCAGTTCTATACCCATCCGTTTTGATTTCCTCTGTAACACTGGGACTGAACTTTGTAAACATTGCACATCTGTTAGCTGGAACAATTTACAAAAGGATTGTGCTTCTCCTCCTGATCCCAATACTCTCCTTCTTATTCCCATAAGGAAGTAGTCACCAGGAAACTCTCTTCCAGTGAGCAGCTTCTTTGCCATAATGCATGGGGCTTCAATAGTACATCCATCCAACAAGTTTTGCTGGGCCCCCGTGGGCAGTTTCTTGCTTGCCAGGCCCAGCCTGTTGCACCTCACTGAACCCCTCTACCTGGGTTCAGAGCCACATCCTTTCCAAAGAGTCTGATCTCAAACTTGGAGATGGCCCTTTCCCAAGTCTCTTCTGTCTTTGGCATGCTCCTTCAGTCCCAGAGGTAGTGCCTGCTCCCCACATCTGTGACTGCCATATTCTTCAGATTGCTTTTTACCCTTCTTAGTACATGACCCTGTTTTACAAGCATCCTTTATACATGATATGCAGCCCCATCCCTTCCCTAACATGAGGAAAAACAGGCCTCAAGTCATTGCATCATCCCTGGTTGCATTAGATACTCCTCAAATTTAGTCAGGGTCCCACTGACTATTCTGTTACCTGAAAGCTAAATTGTATAACAATAGCATATAATTTGTATGTAAAGTAATAAAGGGAAGGAGGAAAAGACAATAAAAATTATTATTTATAAAAACAAACACACATAACAAGGAAAGAGAAACTACGCAAAAGCATAGAACACTCATTTCTGCTTATATATACATGTGCCATTATTCTCAGGATCCATTCCATATTTCCATACTTCTCTTGCTCTCAGCCAAAAAGTCAATTAGTCAAGATTCCTTATCTGGTAGAGTAACTCAAGCCTTCATTTCTAAAGAGTCTGAATCTTCAATAGTCCTACTTTTGATTGTTGCTTTGATTTTCACTAAGAACTTAATATAATGATTTTTATTTTTTAATTGACAGATAAAATGGTTTGTATTTTCTGTGTACACTATGATGCTCTAAAGTATATATACATTGTGGAATGGCTCAATCCAGCTAATTCACATATTCATTACCTCTCATAGTCCTCATTTTGGTGGTGAAAACACTACTCTCTCAGCATTTCTCAAGAATACAATATATGATGAACCTTTGTTGTCATGTGCAATGGACCTCATTCACTTATTCCTCCTGCCTAACTGAAATTTTGTATCCTTTGAACAACACCTCCCCAGCTCCCTCCCAGGATCCTTGATCTGATCTGTCAGCCTTTACCACTGAGCACGGAAGCACCAGGAGACATCAGGATCAAGAAATTACTTGGTTCCAGTGAGTCCCCCTTGCTCTGTGTACTAAACACGAACCCAATTTCCTTTTGGTAATTTGGTAATTTCCATCCCCAGCCAGCAGAGGCACTCTTTTCTTGCCTGTTCATTTAGCGACGGCTGTCTTCATCCTTCAATTCAGTAAAACCATTGTTGAATCCTCTGGTGGAAGCAGTCCCAACGTGGGGCCTGAAACCTCTGAACCTGCAGAGCTCAGCTGCTGGGCCAAGACATTGTCTTACGGCCTTTGCAATTTTATGATTACAACAGAGATTATTTCAGGAATTTTTTCAGAGTGAGCTTATTGCAAATTTCATGCACTGCAATTTATTTTGTTCGTTGGCTTATTTCAGTTCTGAGACTGGCCAATGCAATTAGCATTATTCTTACATAGGAGCACATTTGGACAACTTTGAAAGGCCAGTCTCCTACTCCTAAGCCAGCAGTGCCTGTTTTCAGCAATGCATATGCAAAACAGGCAGTGTTTCCCCAGAGCAGGATCTGCCTTCCAGAGGGCCCTGGCTTTCAAACTACTGCTCACTCTGTGTCAGTGGCACAAAATCAGTTTAATGGATTGCAACCAGCTATTAAAAAACAGAATAGGCTAAAACAGAACCGAATAGAGAACAGAGTAAGAAATGTCAGAGCACATTATAGGTAGTAAGGGTGTGTACAAATTTATGAAACTTCTCTTTGAGTTTTGAATGTGTATGTCGCATAATATGTCATTAACACAAAATGTAATTCTTACTGTGGGTTATGCTAAAAAAGTCAAGTTTACTTTTCTACAACTTATACCACGAAATGGCTAGTGCATACACCTAAATGCAGAGAACAGCCTTGTATGGGTAATACAGTGATGTTAATTTAAAAGAAACACTCATCCATAGCTTTCAGCTTTAACTTAATTTTAAAAAAGATAATCGTAGTAACACACAAAACGCACACTCATATACATATAATTACTATCTCCCAGGCCACGTTCTTAGTGTGTTTTACTACAGACTTGTTCTTCACTATCTCAGTGACTCACCACCAATCCCCTTGGAATCGGCATTATTATTATCCTCATTTTGCAACTGAGGAAACTGAATCACAGAAAGGTAAAGTAATTTCCTGAAGGTTGCACATTTAGGAAGAACTGGAGCTAGAATTCAAACACAAACAGGCAGCCTATGTTTCCTTGGATCTATTGGCAAAGTTTCTTACCTGGTCATCTGGAGAAGAGAGGTGAATGGGAATTTGTTTAATAATCCTATTTGCATAAATCCAATTTATTTAAGTGATAGGCATAGTTGGTCTTGGAGTAAGGAGGGTGACATCGTGTTTAAATTGAGCAGCAGCTAGCTCCAAAACTGTGGCAGCACCAGTAAGAAGAACTCTGATATTGTTTGTGAATCTAGTGGAGAAGTGTGTTGAACGATTAGCAAAGTCTGCCATGGGCACAGAATCAGATAATGGCACACATGCCACCAAGTATGTGCTCTGCAGTCTTTCTCTAAAGCACTGTGGCCTAGGCCTAGGTTCTAGTTCCTGAAGATACAGAAGTGAACAAAAAAGACAAATGAACTTTCCTATGCAGGGAAGACAATAAAGACAGATAATAAAATGAATAATTGAATACACATACGATTTTAGGTAGTCACTTTGGATACTAAGAAGGAAAGAAAAGCAGTGCAAAGAAAAAGAGATGGCACAGAGGTAGGCAGTGGCCCTCTAAGGTATCAGGGAAGCCATCTCTGAGGAAGGGAGGTTTACTAGGACAGAATGATTGTATTCTCATTGGAGAGAGTGACCCCACAGGTATCTGAAGAAAGAGCATTTGAGGCAGAAGAAATAGCAGAGAAACAGGCCACTTCCTTGGCTTATTCAAGGAACAGACAAGACCTGTCCTAAGCCTTTCGGCCATCTATGTGTAATTTCAAATTGTACAAAAAGCTCAGAAGCATAGGCATGAGCACCCTAGAAGAATTTGTAGATGAGGAAGTGTTTTTTATTTTTGACTTTTTAAAAAAAAAATTATTTATTTTGAAATAGAGTGTTGCTCTGTCACCCAGGCTGCAGTGCAGTGGTGTGACCCAGGCTGCAGCCTCTACCTCCCAGGCTCAGGTGATCCTCTCACTTCAGCCTCCCAATTAGCTGGGAGCCACAGGCTCATGCCACCACACCTGGCTAATTTTGTTTTTTTTTTTTAGAGACGAAGTCTCAGTATGCTGCCCAGGCTGGTCTCAAACTCCTGGGCTCAAGCGATCCTCCCACCTCAGCCTCCTAAGGTTGCTGGGATTAGAGGCATGAGACACTTTGTACATTTCAAAGTTTTTTTAAAAAAAATAATTTATGAGAAGCACATAAAAGAAAAATATTAAAATACTTTATAAATTGTGTAAGTACCGTCTCAGTTAATAACACATTTGAGGTTGCGGTTTGGAACTCCTTCTAGGTCTTCATGATGTGCCTGCTAAGAAGATATTTGCTCATTTCTCTGTGGCAACCAGAACCAATTTCAGAATAAGGTCATTTTTAAAATGTAAAGAAAATTATACATTATATGACACCCCATCCAATTTAGTTCTATGTTCCAATGACCTAGTTAAGTGTTTCTCAGCTGGAAATGATTTCTTCCCACAGAAGACATTTGGCAATGTATGGGGACTACTGAGGTTATCCCAATTAGAGAATGGTACTGACGTCTAGCCAGCAGAGGCCAGGTATGTTGCTAAAAATCCTACAGTGCAAAAGAAAGACCCTACTACAAAGAATCATCTGACTTGTAATGTCAATGGATCGAAGGCTGAAATGCCCTGATTTAGGTAGAAAGCACTGGTCACAAGTGGACACTGAATCCTTTGTCTCTGCTCTGATTTTCTGCAGTTGCCATGGAGACCAGGTGATGCACACATGCAAATTCAGTGGCCGTGCAGAAGTTTCAAGATCAGGGCGAGGGAAAAGACAGACAGTAAATGACACTGCAGAGGCAACACTAACAAGCAAGGTTCTGCAGGGGCTGAACATCATATTCATCAAACTTTGGAGTTTGCCCTCAGAGATCCCCCTCCTGGAGCAGGGGAATTCCTGATCTATCGACTTCTGTGTCAATATTCAGAACTACAGTCAGGAGGACCGGCTTGTTTTCCCTTCTTCTCCATACTCAAGATGACACTATAATGAGAGAGTTGGCTGCAAAATCCCTTACAAGAGATGATGGTCATCACAGTCAGAGATATGTCAAAGCACAGGCAGTGCAGCCTGGGTGGAAATGTGGTTTGGAAATTCAGAAGGAGTTTACCACTTTGATAACAGATGCATTGTGTCATTTCTTCTGGTGGTCATTTTGACATCGAAGCATTAACCTTGGATTTTGCTATTTCTTTTTAATTTTAATTCCCTTCTATTTGGCCTTATTATTAATCCTGAGAAGGCTTTTTTTTCTTTTTCAAAAAACACAAATATTTGGTATTGATCTTACCAGGGAGAACAGAAGAGTATGGCCATGTTACCTGAGAGGAGTTAGTGCTATTGCAGCATAGGGTGGAACAATTGAGGCTTCATTTGTGCAGGGAGAGAATTCAGTCTTCTTCAAAGCTGATCTCTCTGTGTGTGTGTGTGTGTGTGTGTGTGTGTGTGTGTGTGTGTGTGTGGTGTGTTTGTGTGTATCTGCCTAAAAGCTAACACCAGGATCTCATTTTATCTGTAATTGAAACGTGAACTAATGGATTAATATTATTAGTCTGTCACCTATAGACAAAAAGAGAGTCTTCGGTGATCAGAAATCAACTTAATATACTCTAAGCACTTTTAACATCTTACACCATTTAAACCACACAGACACACGCATGGGGTGAGTGTAAAAACAAATAGACACATCATAGAAGACAATTAGCAATTTTGTCAGAAGTCTTAAAATATATTTCCACTATGCATTCATATTTCACTTCTAAAAATATATCCTAAGGAAATAATTTCAATGCTGCAGTTAACTATTGCTTCTGCCTGCCCTGGAAAGGTTGTTCCTTCTGCTACTGGCACCCAAATTCCCTTTGGGAATGTCTCTCTTGCCCACTCTCCATCCATGTGTTTAGGTGGGGCCAATGCCTTCCTCTGCTCAGAGAGCAGCCCCAGTGTCAGGTCTAAGAAATTAGTGAATTTCATCGTTTTGCATTGTAATCTGTTCAAAGCTGAGAATAAGGATCAGTTAAATTCTAAGCCAGGGATGTCCCAGAACGTTAATAGAACTGTGGAAATAAGGTCTCTTTTTAATTACATGTATTGCTGGAAGGATATGAGCTTGGAAAGGTAGGGTACCACCACACGGAGAGAACCTAGCTAAAAATGTATCTGTCACAGAAAATAGTAGGGCTGAGCACGTGAACCTAGGATGGACTCCAGGCCTCTCTCACCGTCAGCTAGAATCTTGGCTTGAGGAAGACAGACTTTCTATGTGCAATGCTGTGTCTCTGCTACCAAGAATGTCACTTGGGAAATGCTCATAAATGTCTGTGGGATAAAGACTTTGGGGAACAAAATCCTGATGAGGCCCCTTGAGTACCTCAACGAAGCCATTTCTGAAGCCAATGTACTCCTTTCCAGTTATGACAGTTAACATATTCTTGTGTGGGTGTGTGTTTGTTTTCTAGCTTAAGCCAGCTTGAATTGGGTTCATAACAAATAAACATTTCAAATACAAGAAATGTCTGCACAGCAGTTTATTCACTGATACTCATCTCACAATTTGCTCTGTACTGTGTGTATTTTGTATTTCGCTAGCTGGTGAGGATGAACATGAGACAGCCAAGTAAAAAGGGCTCCCGGAAGAAGCTCCGTCCGGCCTGCTCATTGGGAGGAGTGCGCGCTGGGGTGCGGCCTCGGGAAATTCGCGTCATTTGCAGGAAGGAGGAGCCTGGCCTCTCCTGTTCTGGGGTGGAACTGGGGATTCCATCTGGGAGGCAGGCAACCGGCTAGCAGGACTCTCGCTTTGCTGAGAGTCCCTGTTTTCCTTTTTTATTTTTTCTTTTCGCCCAGTGAATTTTATTTTTCTCACCCTTCAAGGTGTCTGCGAGCCTCATCTTTCACGGCCGTTTGACAAGAACCCGGCTTTTAGCGGAACCAAAAAGAAAGCCCTACAACAAATGGGGTCACTGTTACAGAGAGATGCTCTTAGATGCCATGCATTTAATGAGCAAGATGTTTAGTCTTGTGTAGGTTGGTCCACCCATGCATTTCCCAGAACCCCTAAAGGGGCTTATGGGTGTCACCTTAATCACCTTAAATTTCTCTGAGACGCCTTGAGATTTTACATCCCAGGGCCAGTTTTTCTCTGGGTCCAGGGGATCAACAGCCCCTTTATGCCTTGGGATGGGATTTCACAATATCCCCTTAGGTCCACCTCCCTGTGAATCTGTGAAGTGAGTGTGTGTTACCAAATCTGTAACATAACCTATGTGAGGTTCAGCTCATATCCAGCCAGGAAACCTGTTTACATTTACAATGATAGAAAATAGCATCAGCATAAATAGCCAACAATAGATTAAATAAGAACTTTTTTTTTTTAGATGGAGTTTCACTCTTGTTGCCCAGGCTGGAGTGCAGTGGCACGATCTCAGCTCACCGCAACCTCTGTCTTTCGGGTTCAAGCGATTCTCCTGCCTCAGCCTCTCGAGTAGCTGGGATTACAGGCATGCACCACCATGCCTGGCTAATTTTGTATTTTTAGTAGAAATGGGGTTTTACCATGTTGGCCAGGCTGGTCTCGAACTCCTGACCTCAAGTGATCCACCCGCCTCAGCCTCCCAAAGTGCTGGGATTACAGGCATGAGCCACCACTCCCTGCACATCCAATAGTTTATTATACAGTTATTAAAACCAAGTTCATTTAATTCATTCACTTAACAAATATTTTTTGTGCCCTGTTCCCAGATTCCCAAGCTGGCCCTGGAAGATAATGGTTTAAGAAAATGCCTGCCTCGCCTCTGAGTAACTGATACTTGCTTTCCAGTGGGAAAGGTGGATAATAAACAAGTCAATAAGCTAAATAATTACAAACTATAGCAACTCTATAAAGAAAAGGGAGCTGTGATAAGAAATAGAAAAGAGAAAGCCTATTTTCCACAGGGGTCATCAGGGAAGGTCTCTCAGAGGAGGCACTGACTCTGAGACTTAAAAAAAAAGGAGGAACCAGCCATGCATAGCACAAGAAAGTCCTCGTGCACGCAGGGAACCAACAAGTTCCTGTGTGGCGGGCATGTCGTGAGTAACAGGAAAACAGTACGAGATGGAACTGAGGTGGGGGCAAGGAAGAAGTAGTCTTCCTGGTTCCTTTCCACCTCAGTAAGGAAGCATGATTTATGTTTGTTTATTTTCATGAGAATGTATCACTGAAGAATAAGTAAAGAAAAATATATTACATGCATGCAAAAAAATACATTCTCATTCATGGATAGAAAGAAATGTTGGAAAGGAATACTTCAAATATTCAAGAATGTAATGGGTTTATGAGTGATCTTTTTGTGACTTCTTTTGGCCTATCTACAAGGGACATATGTAAAAAGAAAAAGACCCATAGTTTAAACACAATGACACTGTAGAAAACTTAACGGATGCCTGCGTGTAATATGGTTGGCAAACACAGATGACTCGGCATGTGAAGCACAGGCAAATCCTAATGGGGGCTGCTCACCCTCCAGAGAAGCGGACCTGTCATTGCTGCTCTCCCATTAAGATGTGAGGTCATGTGCACAGATCCTCAAAGACGACTCTTTAATGGGATGTGGGCACCATGATATATAATACTCCTATTTTCATATTGTGGCTCATATGCCATTTGAAAGCTGGCAGAAATAAACCCTTGAGAACTGAAATGGCATCTCCCTAGACCCCAGAAATATTGTCACAGGAAATATTTGGATTGTGTTAATCACTATTGAATTCCCCATTCCCTGTCTTCCAGTCAGCCCTTGTTTAAAGCTTATTTTCTGTGCCAATCAAAGATTTCTTTCAGATAATCACAAAAACTCTTCTTTGGGAACTAACAAATGTACTCCTTGGGTTTCACTGTCTACACCTCCAGGTGAATGCTGGAAGACATGATGTTTATCCTAATGCTACTCACTTTACAGCTGTACTCAGATAAATGTGAATTTGGTTTCAATCTTCAAATACATCGTCTGAGATGAGTTGTGTAGACCACTGCTCCATGATTACATTCAGGGAGATTCAGAGGTTCGTGATTGTGTCTAAGCCAAAAATGGTGGCAGTATATGATACGAAATGAAAGTGAGTAAAAGATTACATAACGGAAAATATGAAAAGTGAATTGCTCCAGGGTTTGCAGCCAACCAAATCTCCCAACAAGAGAAACTAAAAGCATATAGCCAAAATATTTTTAAGCTTTTTTTTTTTTTTTTTTTTTTTTGAAAGAGCCTCGCTCTGTTGCCAGGCTGGAGTGCAATGGTGTGGTCTCAGCTCACTGCAACCTCTGCCTCCTGGGTTCAGGCAATTCTCCTGCCTCAGCCTCTCGAGTAGCTGGGACTACAGGCACACACCACCATACCCAGCTAGTTTTTGTATTTTTAGTAGAGACAGGGTTTCACCATGTTGGCCAGAATGGTCTCTATCTCCTGACCTTGTGATTCGCCTGCCTCGGCCTCCCAAAGTGCTAGGATTACAGGCGTGAGCCGACGCGCCTGGCCTAAGCTACCTTTTTCAAGACATTGGAGAGCCCTAAGGGTAGGAGACCATGAGCGACAAAGACCTCGGTATAAAGGAGCCCGGTTGGTGTCAGCTACTGTTTTGCACAACCTTTATCCATTAGGCACTTACCAGCTTAAGTGTGATGGGATGGGGGACTGTGAATCTCAGTAGAAATCCTAGCATAAAACAGAAGCAAGGTAGCATTCTCAGCAGCCTCTCAAGGACAAGGAAATAAAAATTGGAGTTCACGGTCATCAAGGTAGCTAGAACTTTAAAGACTAAGATCTCAGAGAAATGGGAAAAACAGAAATGAACTCAGAGATTCTTCTCAACTCAAGGCATTTGAGAATGCCTTATTTGCACAGTGAAAGAAGCAAAGAACCTGCAGAGAAACCTCATTAAAAGACTGAAAAGCTAAACATAGCTTTCAGCAGTCTCGTAGTTTCGGGGAGATGAAAATTACAGTTAATCGTTGTCTTGATTTATGACAAGAGTGACACCATAGTACAGTGGCGGAAAGAATCATTCTTTGGATGTATGGTGCTAGATCAAATGAATATTCATGCAGACAAAAAATGATTCTTGAGACTTATCTAAAAGTTATACACAAAACTCTAAATTGCCTGCACTTCTATAAGTTACAGATATAATGATAATCCTTCTAGAAAGGAGTATAGGAGAATCTCTTTATGACACTGGGTCAGGAAAATATTTTCTCATTAGTTCATGGAAAGTAAAAACCTTAAAGGAAAAAATAAATTTAGCTACATTAAATTGGAGAGTTTTACTTAACAAACAAACACCAATAATTAGCTTGACTATGGTCATTTCACAACGCACATGAATATCAAAATATCACACTGCACACATAAAAAATATCAGTTTTTGTTTGTCGATAATACCTCAATATAACTGTTGGAACAAAAATACCAGTAGGAAAAGGCAAGCTGTAGAAACACTATAAATATATTTTTTAAAAAGAGGAGATTCAACAGAAATGCTGGGAAATTTTGGAACAAGCATTTCCTACAAAGAAAAAAAAACACATCCAAATGATCACTGAAAGTCAGTATAGCAGTTAGTTAATTCTGGGTGTGGTGGTGACTTACAGGGTTGAAAAGGGGTCTTTCTTGGGGGCCAGTAGTATAGTAAGACTTAATTTTGATGGTGGTTATACAAGCATGTTAACTGTAAAAAAATTGTTGAGTTCTACACCTATGATTTGTGCCTTTTTCTTTATATCAACTGTATATATAATTCCATTTAAAATCATTTATTTAAATTTTACTATACAAAAGAGTAGGAACACTTCCACTTTCAATCAGTATGGAGTAATGAGAGCAGGTTTTACCCTCCCACCTGATACAGACAAAAAAAAAAAGCCTAGAAATAAAAATATTTAAAACAATAGATTTTAAGACATTGGACATTAGCCAACAAGGAACGCTGATCCCTGAGGGATGGAAGACAAACTAGATGGATACTACAATGCTTCTAGTTCACGACCTCAAGAGAGTATTCTTGTGGTACAGGGAAAAAGAAAGCTCTTTGATTTGAGGACTCTGAGAGACCAGCAGACCAGAATCAAGAGGACATCATACTGAAGAAGAGAGAGAGCAGCACTCTCTTGAGAGAGAGAAAGAACTCCCACATTCTTCAGGGGAGCCTCAATCAACATGAAACAGAATTCCGGTCATCAGAGGAATGTGAAGAACTCCCTGAAGCCAGAGGAAAGAAATATTTGAAATAATTTGTGATAACCGTATTCAGGGCCAAGTGTAGTTGTTGTTCTCGCCAGCAAGAACAGAAAGCCTCATGCTTCATGGAGTATTACACAGAGTGCAGAATGGATCTCACTCAAGAAGGGACGAATCATTAGACCTACAATGAGCACTGTTCAAGTTGCAACGAAAACGTTGTAAAAGTAAGTTCTAAAACTGACAAACCATTTTCATAAAATATAATGGCATCCCAGAACAAAAGCCAGGATTATTTCTAGTAATGCCAAAAAACAAAAACAAAAAACCCTCACCCAACTAGGTAAACTGTACAGTGTCTGGCATCTGATCCAGATTTATTAGGCATGGAAATAAGCACACAAATATGACCATAATAAAGAGGAAAACCAATCAGTCAGAAACAAAAGAGAACTGACACAGACGTTAGAATTATTAGACAAGTACATGAATGAAGTTGTTATAACTGCATTTCATATGTTCCACGAGGTAAATAAAGCTATTTCCTCTCTTTCTTTCTCTCCCTCACATAAACACTGACACGCTCACACACATACAGATAGAAATGCTCCTCAACTTACTACAGAGTTATGTCCAGATAAACTCAACATAAGTTATAAGTAAAAAATGCATTTAATACACCCAGTCTACGGAACATCATAGCTTAGGTTAGTCTACTTCATACATACACATAACACTTACTTTAGCCTTCAGTTGGGCAAGATTATCTCACACAAAGCCTATCTTATAATATAGTGTTCAATATCTCATGTAATTTATTGAATACCACACTGAAAGTGGAAAACTGTATTGTATGAGTATTCAAAGTATGATTTCTACTGCATAAATATTGCTTTTGCACCATAGTTCAGTTAAAAAAATCCTAAGTTGAAACATTGTAAGTCCGAAACTATCTGCGTAAGTACGTGCATTTGTATATACTTCCATGCATATATGTCAAAATCTACATATCTACATATGTGATGAATAGATACAAGTGTTTTAACATGTAGAAAATCGTATCTCTCCCAATTAAAACTTCTAGAGATAAAAACCACAATGTCTGAGATGGAAAATACCCTGGGGAGGAATAACAACAGACTAAGCATCACAGAATAAGAACTGTGAACATAAAACTGTAACAGTAGAATGAAATTATCCAAAATGAAACAAAGAAAAGAGAAAACAGAAAAATGAGAAGAGCATCAGTGAGCTGCACAACAATCCCAGTCACCTAATATTTGAGTAACTGAAGTTCCAAAAGGAGAAGATGAAGAGGGGGTGACAGAAAAAAATAGATTTGATATAGTGACTAAATTTTTTTTCACCTAGTTTTATCAAAACTAGAGATCCAAGAGGCTCCATGAACCCAACCCAAAGCACAAGAAGCAGGAAGAAAAATACACAAAAGCACATCATAATCAAATCAGACAAACCCAGGGATAAAATATTAACAGCAGTCAGAGAAAAGAAGTATTTGATACAGAGTAACAAAATAATGATGAGAACCATTTCTTGTCAGAAACAAGACAAGCAAGAGGAGAGTCGGACAGCATATTTTAAAAACTGAAAAAAAATGGTTTGTGTATTAGACAATTGTCTATCCGCAGAAAAATATTTTAAAAGTAAAGGCAAAATAAAGATTTCTTTACACAAAAGATCGATAAAAGAATTTATCAGCAACAGACCCACACTACAAGGAATATTAATAGAACTCCTTTAGGCAAAAATAAAATGATTTCAGAAGGAAAAATGGATGTCCACAAAGAAATAAACAATACTAGAAATGATAATTTCATGGATAAGTACCTAAAATTTTTTTCTCATTTCTCATTATAAATCTCTTTAAAAGATAATTGACTATTGCAACAAATACAAAAACAATGTAATGTGAGTTTTATGTAAAAGTATGGCAACAATTGCAAAAGGTTTAGGGGAAGAAATAGAAGTACACTATTTTAGTTTCTTATACTTAAGCAAAGTAGTATAAATCACTTTAAAGTATACTGTGATTGTCCTTTGCCACACCTATAACTGTAGATCATCATATTAAGTGAAATAACTCAGAAATGGAGAGTCAAATACGGCATGTTCTCATTTACAGGTGGGAGCTAAAAAATGTGTGCACATGGACATACAGAGTGAAAAAATGGACACTGGGGAATCCAAAGGGAAGGGAGGCTGGGAGGGGAATGAGGGATGAGAAATTACTTAATGGGTATAATGTGCACTATTCAAGTAATGGCTACACTAAAAGCCCACACTTTGCCACACTGGGCAATATACCTATGTAACAAAACTGCACTTATACCGCTTAAATCTATTGAAAAAAACTACACTGTGATAAGTTACAGTTGTGTAATTTAAACTCTTAAGAATGCATCAAAATAACAAAACAAAGATTTAATCAGCAAACATAGAATATAAAATGAGATCATAAAAATATTCAATTAATCCAAAAGAAGGCAGAAGAGGAAAAGAGGAAGAAAGAACATTTGAGGAAACTATAATATAAATAGTAAGATGATAGATTTAATTCTAAACATATCAGTAATTATATTACATGTAAATGTAAAAATACTCCCACTAAAAAGGCAGATATTTTTATTTTGAATATAAAGGAAGGCTCAACTATGAAACCCACTTTAGTATAAAGAAACATATAGGTTAACATTAAAATAATGGAAAAAATTCCTGCTAACACTGAACCAAGGAAAAGTAAAATTGATACATTAATATCTCATGAAGTAAATTTTACAGCAAAGAATATCATCACAGATAAAAAAGTTTATTTCAAAATGATAAAATAGTCAATGCATTGAGAGGCTATAATAACCTTCAATATTTACGCTCCTATTAACAGAACTTGAAAATATATGAAGCAAAAGCTGATAGAACTACTAGAAGTAGACAAAACCACAATTATAATCAGAGATTTCAGTATTCCTCCCCAAAATTGATAGGCCTAATGGAAAAATCTGTGAGAATATAATATACTTGAACAACACTAACAATGAACCTGACCTAATTGAGCTTCATAGAATAGTCCACTAAAGAAGAGCGGAATACACAGTTTTTTCAACTGTACATTGAATAATCATCAAGTTAAACCACATCCTGTGCAACCTAGAACTTCAAGTAATATATATATATATATATATATAATCTGTGACCTTGGGGAAAAAAAAACAAGTTTCAGTCAATATAAAAGCATTTCAGTAATACAAAATATATGTTGTGACCACACAGGAATTAAAAATTGTAATCAATAATAGAGAGATTTCCGTAAAATTTTCAAATTTTTCAGAAATTAAATATGCAGTTTTAGATTTCTATGGGTCAAAGAAGACATTAAAAGGAAAATCAGGAAGAATTTTGAAATGAATGAAAATCTTAACACAATATCAAAATCTGCAGGATGTCAATGACCCAGAATTTGGGAGGGGGAAGTTTAAATGCCTGTATCAGAAAAGAAGAAAAGCCCTTCGATGACTTCAGCTTCCATCTTAAGAAACTAGAAAAAACAGATAAAACTCAAAGGAAGCAGAAGAAAGAATATGGTTTTTAAAAGAGCTCAGAGTAGATGTCAATGAAATGGAAAATAGAAAAAAAAAAGAGGGAAATTAATCTGAAAGCTTGTTTTTAAAGCATATAAAAAGCATTGATAAATACCTTTCACACTGATCAAGAAAAAAAGGCACACAAATTCATAATACCAGGGAGCAGAGAGATGGCATCACTACACATTCTAAAGACGCTAAAATGCTGCTAACAATATTACGAACAGTTATGTAGCAGTAAATTTGAAAACATACATAGAAAAAAAAATCTTGAAAAACAAAACTATTGAAGCTCAAGTTAAGAACAAAGAGCTAACTTCCACAGCCCTATATCTAATAAGGAAATTTGCATTATTAGTTTAAAAAGTTCTTTAAAGAAAATTCCAGTTCCAAATGGTTTAACCGTTGAATTCTACCAAATATTTAAGAAAGACACAATACTAATTTTACAAATTTACTTTAAAACATTGAAAAAAGAAACTATGAGGCCAACATGGCCAGAATACAAAAAACCAGACAAAACTTTACAAGAAAATAAACCTAAGGACTGATATCCTTCATGAACATAAACATAACAATTCTAAATAAAATTTTAGCAAACTGAATCTAACAGTGTAAAAAAATCATAATACCTCCAGATCCAGTGTTGCTCATCTTAGGATTGCCTAGTTGGTTTAAAATTTATATATTCATCAATTATTTACTTCATATTAACAAACTTAAAATGCAAAGTCATAAGATAATCTCACTAGATGTTAAAAAGCATTTGGCAAAATTCAGCATTCATTCCTGATTAAAATATAAATAAATAAACTTCTAACCAAACTAATCATCAAGGAAGATCCTTGCAATCTGTAAGAGGCATCTACTGAAAAACCAGTAGTTGGCATCATTCTTACTGGCAAAGTCTGAATGCTTTCCCCATGAAATCAAGGACAAGACAAAAATGCCTGTTTAGATCCCTTGTATTCAATATTGTACTGGAAGTTCTAGCCAGTGCAATAAGGCAATTAAAAGAAATAAAAGGCACCCAGATGGAATGGGATTAGGAAAACTGCCTTTATTTATACACCATATAGAGAGTGGAAAAACTCCATGTAGGAAACCCAATCAACTCTATCATAAACCTACTGGAACTGCTTAAAACACTGGCAGGGTCCAAGCACAAGATTCAGCAAAATCAAACTACAAAAATCCTTTCAAAGAACAATCAGACATCCAAATTGAAATTCAAAGATGCTACATACTTCCAAAGAACAGTCAGACTTCCAAATTGAAATTCCATTTATAATGCATCAAAAATATAAAATACTTAGGGATAAATAATAAAAATGGGAAAGACCTACATTGAAAACTGTAAGATTTTGCTGGGAAAACTATAAACAAAGAGATCTATCATGTTCGTAGATGAGAACTCTCAAAATTGTTAACATGTTGATTTTTCCCAAATCAATTTATGATTCAATGAAATCCCAATCAAAATCCATGAAGATACTTTAAATAGAAATTGACAAACTGATTTTAAAATTTATATGGAAAGGCAAAAGACCTAGAATAGCCACAACAATGTTGAAAAAAAAAGAACAAAATTAGCACTAATCAAAATCATAACATGCTTTTTATATAAAACACAACTAAAGAGAATAAAAATGCAAGCCACAGACTGGGTGAAAACATTTGCAATCATAAATTTGACAAGAAGTTTGTATCTAGAATATAAAGAATTCTCAAAGTTCAAGAAGAAAAAAAATGACATGAGTGAAAAATGGGAGGAAAATTTGAACAGGTGCTTCAGCAACATAGATATATGGAAAGCAGGCACACAAATAGGTATTCTGCACCATTAACCATTAGAAAAATAAGAGATTACTACATATAGAGATTACTACACATCTATTTAAATAGCTAAATTAAAAAGACAAATGGGGTCGGGCACAGTGTCTCACGCCTGTAATCCCGACACTTTGGGAGGCCGAGGCAGGTGGATCACCTAAGGTTGGGAGTTCGAGACCAGCCTGGCCAACATGGCGAAACCCTGTCTCTACTAAAAATACAAAAATTAGCAGGGCATTGTGGTGGGCGCCTGCAATCCCAGCTACTCGGGAAGCTGAGACAGGAGAAGTGCTTGAATCCAGGAGGCGGAAGTTGCAGTGAGCCTAGATCATGCCACTCTACTTCACCCTGGGCCATAGAGTGAGACTCCATCTCAAAAATAAATAAATAAATAAAAAGACTAATGTCAGGAATGTGAAAGAAATACTCCACAATGACTTTGGAATGCAAGTACTTTGGCAATTTCTTCGAGTTAAACATATGCCTAACATATGATCCAACCATCCTAGGCATTTGCCCAAAATAAATGAAAAGGTATATCCACAGAAGCCAGCACATGGATTTTCACTGCAGCCTTATTTGTGGATAGCCCCAAATTGGAAGCCAGCCAAGTGTCCCTTAACAGGTTAATGGATGCACAGAGAGTGGTATCTTCATACAAGGAATACTAATCAACAATAAACAAAATATTATTCAATATTTTAATATTGAATAACATTTTATTAAATATTAGGAATAAAATGGATGAAGTATAAAATAGCCACGCTGAGTAAAAGAATCCAGGCTGGGTGCAGTGGTTCACCCCTGTAATCCCAGTACTTTGGGAAGTCAAGGCAGGAGGATGGCTTGAGGCTAGGAGTTTGAGACCAGCCTCAGCAACATAGTGAGACTCTGTCTCTACAAAAAAATTTAAAATTAGCCGGCTGTGGTGGCACACACCTGCAATCCAAGCTACTCGGGAGGCTGAGGTGGGTGGATCACTTGAGCCCAGGAGTTCAAGACTGCAGTGAGCTGTGATCGCACCACTGCACTCCAGCCTGGGCAACACAGCAAGATCCTGTCTAAAAAAAAAAAATCCAGACCAAAAAAATAGTACGCATTCTATGATTTCTTTAAATGAAGTTTGAGAAAAATGCAACCTCATTTATAGTCACAGGAGGCAGAGAAGGGGTTGTCTGAGGAGGGTGGTATGGAGGGGTGTGAGGGAGGGATTACAAATCAAGGTGAAAAATCTCTCTGACCCCGTCTCTACTAAAAATACAAAAATTAGCCAGACGTGGTGGCACATGCCTGTAATCTCAGCTACTAGGGAGGCCGAGGCAGGTGAATCGCTTGAACCCAGGAAGCGGAGGTTGCCATGAGCCGAGATCGCACCATTGTACCCCAGCCTGGGCAACAAGAGAAAAACTCCGTCTCAAAAAACAAAAATCTTTCTGAGAAGATGGATGGGCTCATTGTCTTGATTGAAGGGAGTTTTTCACAGGTGCATACATATAGCAAAACTTAGGAAACTGCACACTTTCAATGTGCACAGTTTAGTGTATGTTAATTATACTTCAATAAAGCTGCTAAAAAATACTTGTCCACAATTTATTTGCCACTTTTTCTGTTAACAAACAAACAAACAAACAAACAAACAAACAAACCAGATGTAACAGAAAAGTATTTGCAAATAGTTGTGAGTCACCAATGTTGTGGTTCCCCAAACTTTGGAAATCTTCTTTTATATTTCTTTTGTTGGTGGGAGAGGAAGCTTATTTGTTTCCTTCCTGGGCCCTGGAATTAAAATATGTTGTTGTCTGTGGAAGATACATGAACTCATTACTACCAAATTTAGCAGCCATCATCAATAACATCTCTGAAATCACAGTTTTCTGTGCTAATTGTATGATCTTCAATACTCATTAAAATAAATTTCTATTTTTTCACAGTCTACTCTATTTCCTAAAAATCATCTTTGTATTACCAGTTTGATGTTCTTTGTGGAACACAGTCAGAGCTTAATGTCCATAGTGAAGTGCCTGTCTCCATCTCATTTACCTTCCTCTCTTACCTCACACTTGCTGTATTTTCTCTAAATATGGTGGTAATTTCAAAAAACATGGGTTTGCTTCTTAATTTTCACTTCTTAATATTCCAGTGGATGGCCAGACGTGGTGGCTCAAGCCTGTAATCCCAACACTTTGGGAGGCTGAGGCAGGCGGATCATCTGAGGTCATGAGTTCAAGACCAGCCTGGCCAACATGGTGAAACCCTGTCTACACTAAAAATACAAAAATTAGCCAGGCATGGTGGTGAGCACATGTAATCTCAGCTACTAGGGAGGCTGAGGCAGGAGTATCACTTGAACCTGGGAGGCAGAGGTTGCAATGAACTGAGACCAAGACATGGCACGCCAGCCTGGGCAAAAGAGTGAAGCTCCGCCTCAAAAAAAAAAAAAAAAATTCCAGTGGAGATTGCACCTGATTGTTTATTAAGCCTTAATGTTACCTCTGTGCTTCTAAAACTCTATCTAAGGATGATCTAGGCTGCCTTGCTAGTAGAGTCCTAATTTTTGTCTCCAAGTGAACGTCAGGTGCATGAGGTTTAAAAGGTAAAAAGCAGGGAAGGCATTGGTCTCCAGTGGCAGGTGCAGAAACGCATGTGGGCCTTGGTGGATGGTGAGCACGAAGCGGTGCCAGTTTCCTGACTTCCTCCTGGGCATCAGCCACTTGGGTGCCAACATAATTTGCAAGATTTATAGCAGCCTTTCTGACTTTGCCGGCTCAGTCCTTCCTTTGCTGAGTCAACCTTTAATTCTCTACATGAAACAATCCCTGCTAAAAGCATCTAGTGACTTCAGATTTATTGTCTAAATCAGTTAGTGTTTTCATATTTGGTTGGTTGGTTTTGTCTTTTAAGCTACTAAACTTTGTGGAATCTCTTAAATGGTGGTAAAATATACATAACATAAAAATTTACGCTCTTAATCATTGGTAGGTGTGCAGCACATTCGCACTGTTGTGCAATTGATCTTCAGAACTATTTTCACCTTTTGGCAAAACCAAACGCTATTCCTATTTCCCCTGCCCCCAGCAAGCACCATTCTCCTTTTTGTCTCTATGGATTTGACCATTGCAGGTACCTGGTATAAGAAGAATTCTACAGTATTTGTCTTTTGTGAATGGTGTATTTCACTTAGCATGATATTTGAACCAGTTGTATTTTGTCATATTTAATATATGGAACCTTGGCCTGAGGAATAAAGCAAGTGTTTGATTTTGGATATAAAATAGATTCCTTTCCTAGAATTCTAAGTAGTTCTACCCATGCAAAAAAAATTCACATGCTTTGTTTCTTACTTCTTTTGCAGTTTTCTACTACCCTGATAGACAGTGCATCCAAGTGGCTGACGATAGCTAAGGATAATATGCCAGAGAACCTCTGCCTACTGGCAAGCCCCAGAAGACCTCTCCTTGTTGTGTTAAGTCACTGAAATCAGACACTCTCACCCACGCTGAGTGTTATCTAGACATAATTTCTCTCTAAATTCTATTACTGGCCTTTGGCTGCCGACAAATAAGTTAATTCACATCCACGTCAATAACTCAGTCACACTAAAATTGAATCAATGAGTGTAATGAGGACTCCAAGTATGCTGTAATTTGGCAACGATGGTACTCATAGTGAGGTGATGAGATTAATCACTGGGTGTCATAAATGAAATGTGCTGGTTCATGAAGAATCCAGCACAATTTCCCTGGCTGGGATGAGGGTTGGCAGTCGTGGGTTTTCTTGGACAGCGTCGGGCCCATACACTCTGAGGGGAGCCTGAGTGCGCTACCGTGAAAAGATGCGAGTGCAAAGAATGTTTTCCATCACCTGGAGATTCAGGGTCAAAAGAGTCAGTGTTCTGTTTTGGCTGCCCAGGTTTTGGGGGGATGCTAAATGTCTTTACGAGCCTAGGAAACCTGTGGTCCCCCACCTATCCAGAACAATGGAGGAAAATTCGAAATGAAAATACCTCGTGCAAACCTGAAAGCTCATCCATGAAAAACTAACAACTTGTTCTGCACGTGAATCTTCTGAGTTTGGTTTTCTGGTTTACAAAACCACAGCAGATCAGAAATAGCAAATTACAAAATGAAACAGAGCAAAGTATACAGGAAATGACAATGGGCAATAAGAAAACTCTGGAAAATAATGCAAATACAGCAGGCACGGGACCTCCAAGAACATCTCCGTTTGGGCCATTAAATGTAGGAGCAAATAGCTCTACAGGATGCAGCAGGTCTTACGTGTATCTACAAATTTCATCACACTGTCAAGAAACATGTTCATAATTACAATGTTCAGATGCCCTGAGGAGACTGATAATCCTTGTAGTTGATGGAGTCAAGGAATACAGTAATATGTCTAAGCACAGTTCTATCTCCCTCACATATTAGTGGTCTCATACGTGGTTTTGTTTTGTTTTTTTGGAGACAGAGTCTCACTCTGTCGCCCAGACTGGAGTGCAGTGGTGTGATCTCTGCTCACTGCAAGCTCCACCTCCTGGGTTCACACCATTCTCCTGCCTCAGCCTCCCAAGTAGCTGGGACTACAGGCGCCCGCCACCGTGCCCAGCTAATTTTTTGTATTTTCAGTAGAGATGGGGTTTCACCGTGTTAGCCAGGATGGTCTCAATCTCCTGACCTCGTGATCCCCCCGCCTCGGCCTCCCAGAGTGCTAGGATTACAGGCGTGAGCCACAGTGCCCGGCCGATACATGGTTCTTAATATGTAACAGGCATTGTTATCTAGCATTTGACGGTGCTCATTTCAGACAAAGAAAATGAGGCTCAGAGAAATTAAGTAACTTTCTTAAATCACAGAGCCACTAAGTAATGAAGTGTGAATTCAAACCCCAGCAGCCGAGCCCCAGCCCTGCTTTTAAGTACCACAACACATAGCTCACTTGTGACACTTGCAGATAGCCAAAAGCTTTATTCTATTGGAAACATATCCTACTGCCCTCTAGAATAAAATTATTGGAAATATGTGATATATCTTTAAAAGGAAACTAACTAATGTAACTCTTTGGAGCCTGGGGGAGCCTGTGCTGTTCTCATTAAGCATGGTTATTAGTGAGTTGATTTCAAAGTTTATTAAATGAGTAAGTGTGGGAAACAAATTAGGAAAGAAACTATTCAGAGGAATAAAAATGACAGAAACACAAGTTTTAAAGTTATAATGTCCTCATGTTACAAAGCATGCGTCTGTGTGCTGATACAGGCCCATATATATTGAATTCCTACAGACTGATGGTTTTGCAAGCACATTAGATCTCTTTTGGAAAGAATAAACACACATATTTGATAAAGAAGTTTGGTAGTAGGAAAATAGATTGGGCTGTTGAGTGCAGGTGATTGTCATGTTCTGTGGTATAAAGATAACCAGCTATGGAGTAAAGGGCTGGATTTGATTGCTGTCTCTACTATTTGTAAGCTCTTTGACCTTGTGCAAGTTAACTCCTTGTATCTTTCATTTTCTTATCTGCAAGACTGGGAAAATAGCAATATGTGCTTGCCAAGTTGTGAGGGAGGATTAAATGCATTAGTCTTCATGTATTTCTTAAGACATGGTACTAGATCAGGGGTTCACCAGCTCTTTTCTGTAAAAGGTGAGACTTTGAAATATTTTCAACATTGTTGGCTACCAGGACAGAACTGCAGCCACTGAGTTACTGAATTCTTTTCTTTTCATGGGAAAATAGCCATACAAAATGCAGAAATGAACGGGCACAGTTGTGTTAACAATGAATCTTCATTTACAAAAACAAGCAGTGGGGCAGATTTGACCTCAGGATTGTGGTTTGCTGACTGCTTCACAAGATAAATGTGGGTTATATCATCAAAGGATTTCGATGAGAAGTTAGTGGCATACTATACGAGAAGTGTGTGGTACAGTATCTTGCCTGTGAAAGGTGTTCAGCGAATGATAGTTATGATGATAAGGCAGATATTTTATATGTAACCTAGAAAATTACATACGGCTTTCAGATCTTCAGACCCTCTGTTCTTCCTTCTTAATTTTCATCAAGGAAGGTTAAGAAGTAAGGTTAACTTAGCTAAGAAGCAACTACGTGCAGGAATAAAGGTAAGGAAAATGACAGAATTTGGTTACAGTTCCAAGATTCCTAGTTCAAAATAGAATAGGAAGAAAGGCTGATTTTCTCCTGATGTGGCCTTCCCTGACCTTGCAGTATCTCCGCAGAAGGCTGTAGACTCTTTCTCCTTTAGAAAACATTAAAGGTGACTACCTTACATTAGTAACAGGTGTATTAATGGGGGTGCTGATGGCAGGCAGGGAACAGGCTGAATGACATGAATTCTTCCCTTCATAAATGGGCATCTTTCCATGAAAACACAATATCATTTGTTGAATGTCAAGTAGACTAGAATTTCAGACCTGGAAACATTTGCCTTGAAGCATCAAAATAATTGAATACTGTAATGGCTCAGCACCTGGCTTAAAGTTATAATACCAGGATTTACATTATTCTTAGCCACAGGCATATTTTCCACCAGCTTTTAACAACCCACCACCTCCTTTTCCCCTTCCCTCCCACACAATAACTGGGATGACTTGTCTAGATCTTAGGCAACAATTCTCTTAGCACATCAGCTCCTGGAAACAAATGCACTTAACCAGAAAAACAGGGACATCAACCAGCAAAGATGCATCCTCATTTAATAGAGCTTGAAATTACTATAATCTGTAAAGTACAGCGAGAAGAAGAAGTTTCACCTGCCTGCACATCTGTCGTTGACTCTCCATCTGACTTGGAGGGACTCTGAGGGACCAACCTGAGCCTGAGAAGAGGCAAGATTCCCCTTCAAGGACACACTGGGAACTTACGGACCTCTTTCTCCATGGTGCAGAGCGCAGAGGTAATTACATAATTGTCTGTTCAATTACTTTACTCAAGAGTCACAATCTCAAATTCCATAAGCCACTAGAGAAATGGCATCAATGAATGAAGCAGGTCATTTTAGGGACTTCAGTTAACGGAAAGGGGTGTGTCCCAACAAAGACTCATACAGTCAACTGTCTCCATGCTGGCATGCCCCACTGTTAATTGATTTCCCACATTTTCAAGGCAGCAGGAAATGTCATTTTTAATACTTTTATTTTTGGCTTTACAGAATTACTGCAAAGATAGTACAGAGTTCCTGTAAACCCAATGGGGATACCCAGTGCCCCTATTATTGACATCTTACATTAGTATGGTATATTATTATTATATATTAGTATAGTATTATACATTAGTATAGTGTTATACATATGCATAGTATGTGTGACATACATTATTCATTACTATGCGTGTTACTAATAATTATTATATATTAGTATGTATAATAATACATACTAATAATACATATTGTATAGTATTATACATTGGTATTAGTAGTAGCAATAATTACTATATGTTAGTATGGTATATTATTAGTATGGTGTATTTGTTATTATTAACTAAAGCTCATATTTTAACCAAAAGTATAAATGGTAAATGTTCTGGTATTTAAATATTGATCACTGTGATAGGCAGAATAATTGATTCCCTCAAAGATGCCCCCAATACATAAGCAGAATAATTGTTCTCCAAACATTTCGAAGATGTTCTAATCTTTGGAACCTATGAATAGGCTACCTTACGTGGCAAAAGAGACTGTGAAGATGTGACTGAGATGAGCGTTAATCTAATGGAGAGACTGGGAGCTTGTCCTGGACTATCCTGGCAGACCCATTGGAATCACACATATCCTTATTAGAAGGAGGAAGGAGGGTCAGAGTGAGAGGATCTGTGATAAAGGCAGCAGAGATAGGAGTGATGTGGACATGAGCAAAGGAACACTGGAAGCTTCTGGACGTGGAAAACGGCCAGGAGATAGATTCTACCTGAGAGCCTCAGAAGAAATTGAGACTTGAAGACACCTTTAAGGGATAATGATGTTGATGATTCTTTTGTTAGTCCAAAATTATCTTTGTTCAGATTTCAATTCATGAGGTACATATCCCAGGGGCCCAACCCACACAAAAGAAAAGCTTCATAGTTAAAGTCTTATTAAGAGAAATCAAAATAGGCCAGTGAGGATTTTTCTTTAAACTCTTGAAATTGAAAAGACTGACAATGCACTCTGAAATGGTGCTCTCTCTGCTTGCATAATTTTCAAAAGCATAGTCACCCCATCCGCAGTGATACTTCACCTGCAAATCCAGTAAGACCCATTTTAGATTTCTGAACTGGAGGGTAATACATGTGTGTTGTTGTAAGACTATGCTAGTGGTAATTTGTTGCAGCAGCAAAAGGAGCTAATACAGGTTATCAACTCAATGAGAAAGAAATAATCTGTTCCATCAAACACAGACTCATCTTCTAGGCCCCCACTGTGCAGAGGGCGCATGTACGCTGTGTGACATTAGTCTCAAAGGGGATTGAGACTGTGCCCCCTCTGCATCTCAGACCTTAAAACAGCACCTGACACAGAGAGAAGACTCATTATATATGGATTAAAGTAATGCTTTTTAGCCCTTGGAAAACTGCTACATCAATGGTTGTCTTTGTACAAGGAATGATGTGCATTCTTTATTCTTCTTCGGCAAGAAGTGTGAGAAATATCAACTCTATTTATCTCTGTCCACTTAGGGCTCCTGAAGTACTCATCCTTATTTCCAAGCAACTTTAAATATGTCTTTGGTTTCTTATTATGGAACAAAATGAGATACATACTTAACGGTTTGCAGATGAAGTATCATTGCAGATGGGGTGACTATGCTTTTGAAAATTATGCAAGCAGAGACAGCACCATTTCAGAGTGCATTGTCAGTCTTTCACTTTCAAGGGTCTAAAGAAAAAAATCTCATTGGCCTATTTTGATTTCTCTTAATAAGACTTTAATTGTGAAGCTTTTCTTTTGTTTGGGTTGGGCCCCTGGGATACGTGCCTCATGAATTGAAATCTGAACAAAGATAATGTTGGGCTAACAAGAGAATCATCATTATTCTTTAAAACTCTGCAAAGGCCAGTGCGTTTGCACCATTAGACTTCAGTTTTCCTTTGCAAAGAGAAATCAAAGGCGATGTGAGAAGACCACATGCGCGCGCGCGCACACACACACACACACACACACACACACACATAAAGCACAGAAATGGGAATCTCAGAATCAATACATTATTTTTTTCCAGAGAGGTTCTGATAGGAGAAAGGGCTTTTCTGCATCTCTTTCCCTACATCTTGCCCCTCCTGCCTGCCCTTGTCCTTTCCCCCTGCGCAAACACACTGTAGGCCTAGCCATTGGACACCACTGCCTGTGTTTTCCCTGTTTCCTCTTTGACACCTGAACCCTGGCAAGGAAGGCGTAGCCTATGCCATCCTGGGTAATTATAGTTTGAACATTTTCCCCCCTAAGTCTCATGTTGAAATGGGAGCCCCAGTGTTGGAGGTGGGGTCTGGAGGGAGGTGTTTGGATCGTGGTGGCAGATCCCGATCGTGGTGGCACATCCCGATCGTGGTGGCACATCCTGATCGTGGTGGCAGATCCCTCATGAATGGCTTAGCACCATTCCTTTGGCGATGAGTGAGTTCACAGAAGAGCTGATTGTTGAAAAGAGTCTGGTCTCCTCTCACTCTCTCACTGCCTCGCTCCTTCTCTCTCTTGCTCCCACCCTCCCTGTGTGATGCCCTGGCTCCCCTTAGCCTTCCACCATGATTGTTAAGCTTCTTGAGGTCCTCATCAGAAGCAAATACTGGCACTATACTTTGTGTACAGCCTGCAAAACTGTGAGGCAAATAAACATCTTTTCGTTATAAATTATCCAGTCTCAGATATTCCTTTTTAGTAATGTAAAAATGGCTTAACACACTAAGTCTGTTTTGAGCACATTCCATGAGGTCTGCTCACAGGTGATTGTCTCCTCCACACACCCCGTGTTCTGTGCTGTTGCTGTCGGTGCATGCCTCTCGTGATGTCACTGCTGTGGACACAGCCTGCCCTCCCCTCCCCAGAATTATATTTCTATGGACCTTGCTCTTCCTATATATTCCAGAAGCAACTCAGTTGGGGTGTGGCCAAGAAGGGAGACAATCACAGAAATGATTTCTCTCTTCTGCCTCCTTCAGGAAAATCTGGACTCCAAAATCTGGTTCTACTGATACGTGGCTGTGGCCAAAGTCTTTCCACGCCTCCAAGGCCTCCATTTTTTAATCTTCATAAGAGGGAACAATCCAATCTGCCTATCAGTATTGTGAGTGTATGATGGCTCCCCTGAAGTCCTGCAATTTCTTGACTGCGGGTTCCCAGGAAATGGCAGATGTGACTGGTAATGATTCATTCATTGTTTCATTAATCAAGCCAGCTTCCACTGATGATCTACTGGGTGCAGGACTCTGGCATGGCAGGCTGTGCATTCTGGCCACACTCAGTTCAAATTTCAGCCCTGTTTTTTGCTACCTGGGTGAGCTGGGCTGAATTACAGATCCTTTGCACTTCAGTTTTCTCCTCTCTAAAATAAGCGCTACAGTGGCATCGCCCTCAGAATTGTTTTGTAAGGAAATCAATGAGTGTTTTGCATAACGTGTGCAAGACACATAATTGGCCCTAGAAAATTTTAAGTAATAATAATGCTACTATTACATTTATAGAATGGCTCAGACAGTGTGACTCCCAAGCTGTGTGTTAACCACTGTAATTATTGCTAGTAATGATGTTATTTTAAACTTGTTTAATTATTCCTATATGTACACAGTAGGGCCCCCTTATTTGGGGCTTAGCTTTCATTGATTTTAGTTACCACAGTTCAAAAATAGTACGGTATTTTGAGATAGAGAGAAGCCACATGCATAAAACTTGTGTTACAGTATATTGTTAAAATTGTTCTATTTTACTATTAATTGTTAGTGCTAGTCTGTTATTGTGCTTAATTTATACTTTTACAATTTTAATTTTTTGTAGAGATAGGGTCTCACTATGTTGCCCAGGCTGGTCTCGAACTCCTGGCCTCAAGCAATTTTCTGGCCTCTGCCTCCCAAAGCACTGGAATCACAGACAAGAGCCACCATATCCAACTTCCTAATTTATAAATTAAGCTTTATCATAGTTATATACGTATAGAAAAAAACATACTATATGTAAGGTTTATACTATCTGCAGTTTCACACATACACTGAGGGTCTTGGGCTGTATCTTCTGCAGATAATGGAGAATAACTGTATCCCCATACATGTACCTCTATGTGAATATACACATTTAGATGCAGGAGTGGGTGTAGGTGGATATAGGTACGGGTTATACATAGACAGACACAGAGATGTATTTTTCCTCTTTAAAGAGCAAGGACTTCGGAGAAAACAGAACCAACAAACTGGAACATAGATTTAAGGAAATTACCCAGAACACAGAGAGACAAAGCCCTGAAAAATATTCCACAGAAGTTAAGAGACATGAAGGATAAAATAGGCAGGTGTTCCATAAGGAGAGAGAAGAAGGACGAAGAGACGCAGCATTTGAAGAGCTTAATCTAAGCATGATCTGAAGTTCATTTTTTTAAAATGCACCTTCAGATTCAAGAATTTACATCAAAACCCCAAGCAGAATTTTTCTAAGCCCGTGTCTAGATAGCACTTGGTGAGTAAATTCAAGCAAGCTTTAAAAATATAAAATAGTGGCTAGGTGTGGTGGCTTACGCCTGTAATCCCAGCACTTTGGGAGGCTGAGGCAGGCAGATCATGAGGTCAGGAGTTTGAGACCAGCCTGGCCAGCATGGTGAAACCCCATTTCTACTAAAAATACAAAAACTTAGGCAGGCATGGTGGCCTGTGCCAGCTACTTGGGAGGCTGAGGCAGGAGAATTGCTTGAATCCAAGATGCAGAGGTTGCAGTGAGCCGAGATTGTGCCACTGCACTCCAGCCTGGGCAACAGGGAGAGACTCTTGTCTCAAAAAAAAAAAAGTATATATATATATATATATATATATATATATATATATATATATATATGTGTGTGTGTGTGTGTGTGTGTGTGTGTGTGTGTGTGTGTGTATGTGTGTATATATATGTGTGTGTCAGAAAATAATAAGAATTATGATAAATTTAATGATAATTAAATGTACAAATATTAAAAATCAAGTGATGCTAAAATTCCAAGTAATAATAATAATATATAATTCTAACAATTTGGCATTGTGTATTTTGAGTTTATGGTGGTTAAGTACGTATAATTTGAAATTATGTTACAGTGTCCTAATATTTAGATTTTAAAAATCAAGCATAGTACAAAAGTCATTTAAAGATACAGTTGTAAATGTCCTTTTCAGGGACACGGATGGAGTTGGAAGCCATTATCCTCAGCAAACTAACGCAGAAACAGAAAACCAGACACCGCATGTTTTCACTTATAAGTGGGAGCTGAAATGATGAGAACACATAGACACATGAGGAAGAACAACACACACGGAGGCTTGTTGGAGGGGGAGGTAGTGGGAGGGAGAGCATCAGAAAGAATAGCTAATGGATGCTGAGCTTCATACCTCGGTGATGGGATGATCTGGGTAGCAAACCACCATGGCACACGTTTACCTATGTAACAAACCTGCACATCCTGCACATGCACCCTGGAACTTAAAATAAAAGGTGAAGAAAAAAATACAATGATATAGACAAAATACCAGAAAACTAATGGGAAAAGTATGTACAATAAATGCCAACCAGGGAAAAGCTGATAAAGTTTTATTAAATATCAGAGAAAATAGTATTCTAGGCAAAAATGTTCTGGATACAAATAGAATACTAAATGAGTAAGAGACAACCTACAAGTTTGTGAGAAATTTAAAATTGTAACTAACTAAGAACATAATTTAAATGTAAGTTGCTATATGTATTGTCAGAAATATCAGGTGAATTTGACAAACAATTATAAGAGCAGGAAGGTTTATCATACCTTACTTGGAAGTTGATGTGCCAAACGATGAAAATGAGTAAGTATAAGCACTAGTTGAGCAAATTTTAACTAAAGGACTTATATACAACCCATTCCCTTAAATGAAAGAATATGCATTTCCTCTAAACACAAAATATCATTTCTAATGATATAAAAAATCTTTAAACAATTAATATAAAACAAAACACTTTTTTGAGCAGTTGATTTCATCCATATAAATATTCTTTTTATTTATTTATTTATCTAACTTTTATTTTAAGTTCAGGATTGCATGTGCAGGTTTATTATATAAGTAAATTTGCATCATGGGGGTTTGTTGTATAGACTATTTTATAATCACACAGGTATTAAGCCTAATAGCCATTCGTTGCTTTGCCTGACTCCCTCCCTCCTCCCATCCTTCACCCTTTGGTAGGCCAGAGTGTGTTGTTCCCCTCTATGAAGACTTTTTTTTTTTCTATTTGAGACAGGGTCTTACTCTGTCACCCAGGCTGGAGTGCAGTGGTGCCACATTGGCTCACTACAGCCTCAATCTCCTGGGCTTAGGTGATCCTCCCACCTCAGCCTACCAAGTGGCTGGGATTACAGGGCCATGCCATCACACCCAGCTAATTCTGTATTTTTTGTAGCGATGGGGTTTTGCTATATTGCCCAAGTTGGTCTTGAACTCCCGGGCTCAAGTGATCCCCCTGCCTCAAACCTCCCAAAGTGCTGAAAACACATTTTTAAATCAGAAAATATTAAAAGTAAACCAAATCTTCATAGATTTGGAATTTATATAAAACAGGAAACTATAATAAAAATGAGAAACATTTAGAGTTGAACCACAATGAAAACAAGGCCGATAGATCCTGGGACAGGCACTGAAACGGTGTGTAGAGGACACATCACCATACGTGCATTCTGGAAGTGAGAATTTTAAAAAATAGAACAAAAGAGCAACAGTGAGTAGAAAAAAGAAAAGAATTAGAAATAGAGAAATTAGTTCGAAGGAAATCACAGGGGCAATTGAGAGAACCAATAAAACCATCACGGAATCTTTGAAGAAACCAAGGAAACAGTGAAACCATTTGAATGACTGAACAAAAGAAACCATGTGTGTGTATGTGTGTGCGCGTGTGGTGTGCATGTGTGTGCGTGTGGTGTGCATGTGTGTATATGTGTGTGTGCGCCTGTGTGCGTGCGTGTGCCTGTGTGTGTTTAATAATAAAGGTAAAGACAAGAGAAGAGACAGCTGTAAATAAATTATCGTCTTTGGAGAAGATCAGAGATAGTTTTCCTTCTCATTCTTGAACTTCCTTCTCAGCTTCAGTAAGAATGGTGACTCTCTTACAGGCCACGTGTGAAGGAATTAAACTTCTATTTCGTTCAGCCCTTCTAAAAAACAAATAAGTAATCCCTATATGAGAGACAAAGCTAATAAAATGTGTGGCATTATGGAATGATTGAGATCACATCTGGTATTAGGAAAGGAATTAATTATTAGAAAAATAGGCAAACACTGGCCTTTGCAAACTTATCTCTACTGTAAGAACCTATAAAAACAAAGGTAATGTTGTCAGAACTCCTGAGCCAGCATTAATGAGTTTCCTTTTTTTTTTTTTTTTTTTTTGAGATAGAGTTTCACTCTTGTTGCCCATGCTGGAGTACAATGGCGCGATCTCAGCTCACTGCTACCTCTGCCTCCCAGGTTCAAGCAATTCTCCTGCCTCAGCCTCATGAGTAGCTGAGACTACAGGCACCTGCCACCATGCCCGGCTAATTTTTGTTATTTTTAGTACAGACAGGGTTTCACCATGTTGACCAGGCTGGTCTCGAACCCCTTACCTCAGGTGATCCATCCGCCTTAGCCTCCCAAAGTGCTGGGATTACAGACATAAGCCACCGCATTCAGCCTACTAATGAGTTTCTGATAGAAAATTTGTCTTGCAACCAAATCAGGTTGTGTGTGGCCTTCCCCTTCTTTGTGACCTTCCTGTGCTCACGTGAACCTGCACGTGCTCTGGTGCCCACACTCCGCCCTTTATGTATTAACAGGAGGAGAGCTTTTATGGTGGAGATAAAGATTGAAGAGAAAAGGGTTAGCAAGACTTGAATGAAAAGAATTTAGTAGTAAGAATAATTTTAAAATATCCAATCTGATCATTTTTACAATATCAAATTTGGTCCATTTGCTCTTATGTGCAGGGGCTATACAGATGTTTGTTTTTCTGAACAAGAAGGATTTATAAGAAAGTTATTAACTTATTAACATTTATAATAATATTGTTATTATTTTAAGTGCCCATTAGGCCACATGTCTAAAAAATAATAATAATTTATCTCCAATCTTTACAAAATCACAGCAAGGGAGATATTGTTATCCCCATTTCACAGGTGTGAAAGCTTGAGGCACTCACTAGTTATAGCAGAGCCAGGATTCTCAGCCATGTCCCTCCAGAACTAAAGTCTAGTTCTTTAAAATTCATTGTTATCTTTCCAATTAGAGGGAAAAAATGTGTAGACTGACAGGTGACTTCTCAACCAAAATAATTGAAAGTATCTCAGCAAAAATATTCTTTAAGAATGATAGTGAAATAAAGACATTTCAGACAAAGAGAAACTGTCTTTGTTACCAGAAGACCCAGATTAAAGAAAATATCAAGGGTTGTTATTCAGGAAGAATGAAATAATCCCAAATCTTGGCCAAAACACACACACACACACACACACGCACACGCACACACCCTGAACCCCAAAACAATAACAATAACAAAAAACCAAGAAGGAATTAAATCACCACAAAGGGTGAATATGCAGAATGAATAATGACCACATAAAACAGTAACACAAATACAAATAGTCATGTGAGAAATTTAATGCACACATAAACAGAATTAACATGCATGGCAAAATGACATTTAATTCAAAAAGTGCATAAATGAAGTTAAACAATTCTAAGATTTTTGCTTTTTCCTGGAAAAGAAGAAAAGCCACAATTAATGTAACCTTTAATATGTCAGTTATCCATATTGCAATCTTTAAGATAATCCCTTAGAAAGAGTAATATTATTTATAATTTCCTAATTCATAGGGAAAATATGTAAATAAACATTTTCTAATTTGGAATAAGAAAAGACAAAACAGGCAAGACAAACTGAAAAACAAAAGCAGAGTAAGCTGACAGCCCAAATATATTAAGAATTGCATTACGTATAAGGAGACTGAATCTAACAAAACAAATATAAGCATCTCTTTGGATTAAAATAAATGTATATTTATAGGAGATTCACTTCAAACAGAGACAGAGGAAGATTGAAAAAATTAGACTATGCAAGCCATACCGAAGAAAGATTTTGTGTCCAGAAAAATATCTGACAAATTAGTCTTTAAGATAAAATGTACAACTAGAGATAAAGAGACTTTATAAAAGTTTAAAATCATTGAGAAGATAGAATGATTCTCAATGTGCTTGCACCTAAATGGTTTAGCCTCAAAAGGTGGTTATTTTGGGTGACATTGATTATATGCTTCTATATGTATTCTGCTTTATGTTTTTAAATCTATGTCTATTAGTCTGTTTTCACACTACCGTAAAGATACTACCTGAGACTGGGTTATTTATAAAGGAAAGAGGTTTAATTGACTCAGTTCCACATGGCTGGGGAGGCCTCAGGAAACTTACGCTCATGGCGGAAGGCGAAGGGGAAGCAAGGACTTTCTTCACATGGTGGCAGGAGAGAGAAGTGTGAGTGCAGGAAAACTGCCATTTATAAAACCACCAGATCTCATGAGAACTCGCTCACTATCATGAGAACAGCATGGGGAAACCAGCCTCATGATCCAATCACCTCCTTCCCTTGACATGTGGGGATTACAATTTGGGATGACATTTGGGTGAGAACCCAGAGCCAAACCATATCACTGTATTTTTAATTGTTTACAATAAATATATGAGGAACTGCTATAGGATTAAATAGAAACTACTCATATTTGTTCAACGTGCAATTAACCCCTAGCGAGCACTCAATACATGGTAACTGGCATCGTCACACATATCTCCATCACCATTAACCTTTTCGTAATCGAAACAGAACAATGGTCAAATAGGAAAAAGTAGGAACTGGAGTCCTGCAGAGTCGATTGTTTTTACTATAATTTAGTCATAAAAGCAAAGCATGAGAGTCATTTGTCTCACCCGGCATTTATAAGCCATCCTCCCTGAGACATTTAGGGCTCATCAGATGCAAGTCATGGAAGATACAAAAATATAACCACTATTTAGTATTTCCATCACTGCTGTAGGCCCTGTCTTTGATCCGGTTAGGCTTAGTTGTGTTTCTAGAACTCCAAGTACCTGATCGTATCTTGGGGTCATGTGAGGGAGATTTGGCCTTGAGGAGAGGGGCTTCACAGGCCAGCTGTTTATTGTTACTCTCCCACGGAATTCAGTCCGGAGCCCAGAGCCTAGGTTTCCATGAGGAACTCCTGACATCTGCTGGCCAGTGTGCTCCTGGTCTGTACACTGCATGCTGAGAGCCAGAGAATGTTCACTCAAGACAGTACCTCTGTGTTGGGTTTTTTTAACACTTAGAAAACTTTATTATAGTGTTTATCTCAAATAAAGAATTTAAAAATTCAACTATTAAAAGGCCAGGCATTCTCTAATATTCATGAACTATAAGTAGAAATGATAAGGAAAATAAATGTCCAAACACGCAAATAACCATCAGGCTAAAGTAAGAATTAATATCCCAATTACCAGCCATTTAGGAATTAACAAAAATGGCATTGCCTGTCAAATTATAGCAAGGCAACGAAACTGCAGCCAGAGGCAGGCTCATAAGACTAAAAAACTGATAGATATTTTTTTTGTTTAGTTACATGGATAAGTTCTTTGGTGGTAATTTCTGAGCTTTTAGTGCACCCGTCACCCTAGCAGTGTACACAGCACCCAATATGTAGTCTTGTATCCCTCACTCCACCTCCCGATGTTCCCTGAGTCCCCAAAGTCCTTATGTCATCCTTATGCCTTTGCATCCTCATAGCTTAGCTCTCACTTATAAGTGAGAACATACGGTATTTGGTTTTCCATTCCTGAGTTACTTCACTTACACATTTGAGAGAAATCACAGCTCAATTCACCCTTCAGGCTCATGAGTCCAGAAGTTTTTGCGTAGCCAAATTGAAAAAAAAATGATATCTATAAAGTGAGTGGAAGCCCTAATGGGAGATTTGCATAAAGGGTAGGAGCCTGGATATTGAAGTCTGTCTCATAAACCTGTGCTCGTCTCCTAGTGGTACATCTGTATCCCAGCTAAATAACACCTTTGTGCCTCAGTTTCCTTGTCTGTGAAATGGGGCTGAAAATATGACCTACATGATAAGATTATTATGGGATGGAAGTAGTTAAGGCATATATATATATATATATATATATATATATATATATATATATATATATGTTAGAACAGTTCCTTGCAAAGAACAATTTCTTAATATGTGAGCATTGTTATTAAATCCTAAAATTGTGACTCATACAATTTAATAAAGCTACTAATCAATCTAATTTACTGCACATGTATTTTAAAAATCCCTAACAAATTATGGGGGCTATTTGCATTCTGCCAGCACTGCAGGAAGCTGCAGATAGCTCTGGAAAATAGTAAATGTGCTGTGTAGAACAACTTCTTTTATAACCTGCTTTTATTCTAAAATATGAGAAGGCCTGGGTGTAAATATGGTGAGAAGCCTTTTATTGTTCCTATTAACGTGAAAATGAGCTTGTGTAATGCACTCTGATTGTGTCTAAATCATCCCCGCTCCTGGTCAGTTTCACATCGTCTCAGACAAAGAACACTGGGCCTTCTACAGTAATCACACATTAATAGGCATGCATTAGTTGTGGCACAAAGAGCTTTTTTAGTGGATTAATTGAAAGTCTCCCTGTGCAAGCTTGAGAACCTCAGCTAGTGACATTGAACATGCACTCTTACAATTAATGATGAATAATAAAAGCTAAATAGTGTCATGGATCCCACTGCCAACATTTTGCTTAGGAAAGTCACCAGCCTGAGCCATTCTCATGTCATAACTTGGAACCCCACAGATGGGCTGAAGCATGGATCCTATATGCAAGCCAAGGAGGTTTAAACGCTGGTTCTGCTAGCTACTAGCTGTATGACCTGGTGGGAGTCAGGGGTGCTCTCTGAGGATCAGTTTCTTCATCTGCAAAATGGGAATTACAGAAAGAGTGCCAATCTCGTTCAGTCACTGTGAGGACAAAGTGAACCAGCTTGTGTGTGAATGCACCCCGTAGAACCTGGCATGTAAAGAGTGCAAAGTAAGTGTTAGTTATTATTATTATTATTATTAGTTTATTAGTTGGGTCCTCACAGGAAACACATGGTACACTCAAAATGGGACTGAATTTAATAAATTTAATAAAGATAGTACTTCAATAGATTGGACAACATTAAATAAATGGGAGATGGCACTGCACCCAGGTCCTAGCAACAGTGGGAAGCCATTACACTAACTCCGTACCACTACTCCAACCAAACGAACAAGAGGAGGGGACAGTTGCCACACCACACAGGAGCTTTGGCATTAAGAAGACCTTGGCATTTGAAGCCATGGAAGCTGTGGCCTCCATAAAAGGAACACAGACGATGCCAAGTCTTGGAGAGCAGGGAGAGAGGGAGGGTAATAAATCTCTTGACTTCTCTCTTCTTTTGACCCTGAAAACCCAGCGTCTCCAATCAGAAAATCTAACCAGAAGCCAGAGAGCAGAGGAAGCCAGGTGCTGCGATATGAAAAGGTCAGCCTACAGGTTAGAGTAGTGCAGGGTGCACTAGGGTTAGGAATAGATTTGGAGGGGAGACTGGCAAATATCAGCCCCCAAGGAGAGTGGTCTTAGGGCAATCTATATTATGCATGCGATCAGTATGAATAAACTGAGCAAATATTACCAATATAGCTGCATACCCCACTGCCAAGAAACACTAAGGGAACAAATATAACTGTGGAAGTGACTCAGTGCCTTTGAGTCTGGTTCTGGACTGTGAACAGGAAGAGTGATAATCCTAACAAAAACAACTTGAATAAAAATAGTAACAGCAACTGGCATTTCTATAATACTTGGTAATTTTCAAGCCGCTTTCATGTATATAACCACATTTCAGCCTTGTAATAACTCTATTGGAAGGTAGGTATTTATTTCCATTTTAAAATGAGAAGTGTTTAGTTTTCAAAATCCCTTGTGCAATTCTTGCTTAAATTTCCAAGAGAATGCATGAAAAATGTTGATATTACATGTTAGTGTTCAGGAATACAAGATGTGGAATTTACTTGTTTTACTCAAGTCATGTGTTGTGAGGCTTGTAATGTGTCAAGCTCTGTTCTAGACACTGGGGATCCAGCAGTGACAAAAACAAAGCCCTGCATGTTTTTGAGCTGCAGTTACTTTGGAAGAGCCTGGAAGTCCTTCAAGAAGTTAAAAGAGTTGTTTATGTCCCAATAGAAATGAAAACATGTATCCACACAAAACCTTGGACATAAATATTCACAGCAGAATTGCTCATGATCGCCAAAGTGTGGAAATAGCCCAAATGCCTATCAGCTGAAAGATACATAAAATTGTATATCCATACAGTTAAATATTACCTAGCAATAAAAAGGAATGAAACACTGATTTATGCTACAGGAAAGAATCTTTAAATTATTACACTAAGTGAGAGAAGCCAGTCACAAAAAATTACTTATTATATGATTCCATGTGTATGAAAGATCCAGATTAGGCAAATCTAGAGAAAAATGTAGATTAATGGTTATTTAGGGCAGGAGTGATGAGTGAATGAGAAGATTGGGAGTGACAGTGATAGCAGCAGGAGGCAGCCAAATGCCCAGACAGACAGGGGTGGGAGCCCATGACCCCATCTCCAAGCCGAAGACAGTTGAAAGCCTGAAAGCCAGGCTACAAGTTAAATCCTTGGACTGGATTGAGAACTTGTCTTCCTGTTTGGCACACTTTCCTCTGATTCATGCCCACCCTTCACCTATTTTACATATAGCTACCCTTGCCTAATTGGTTTTCTACACTATCATGCCAACCTTTGGATGGTGTCTTCACTTTAACCTTTTTTGCATACTCACAAACCAATCAGCACACACTCCCCATCCTGTGCCTATAAAGTTCCCAGACTCAGTCAGTAGAGGAGAATATGGCCTGACTTCAGGGAAGGAGATGGCCTGACTTTAGGGAAGAGACAACCTGACTTTGGGGAAGGGACAACCTGACTTCAGGGAAGACGACCTGCCCTTCCTGTCCCCTCTCCAGCTTCCCTCTCCACTGAGAGCTGTTTTCTTCACTCAATAAAATTCTGCACCTCCACCATCCTTCAATTGTCTGCATGACTTCATTCTTCTTGGATGTCAGACAAGAGCTCAGGACCCACTGAGTGTGGGTACCCAGAAAGGCTGTCACACAAGCCCTTTGCCTTTGCTGGCAGAGGGCAACCACCCCATGGATGAGGCAAGGGGCCAACTGAGCTGCTAACACCCTGTGGACGGCTGAACTAAAGGAGCTCTGCAACACCTCCTCTCAGGCTTCAGGGTCATGGGCACCCTCACCTGGGCGCTGCCACATTCCCCTGAAGGTGACATGCCTGGACTGGCCCCAGGTCTCACTCAGAGCTTGCTCCTGTGTTGACGCCCAAAGCAGTCAGCCAGATCTCGTTGTTGCTCACTCACTTGTTCCCTTCTGCAGAGGGTTGAGCATGGCAGACTGAGTAGATGGGCATCCCTTCCACGAGTCTGGCAAAGTGGGCAGAGAAAAATCCTGCATCAACAGCTAAATGATGTGGGGTTTAATTTTAGGGTAATGAAAATGTTCTAAAATTGGTCATGTGATGAATGCATAACTCTGTGGATATACTAAAAGCCAATTGCATTGCAATGAATTGCATGTTATGTGAATTATATCTTTTTTTTTTCTTTAGACAGAGTCTGGCTCTGTCCCCAGGCTGGAGTGCAGTGGCAGGATCTCGGCTCACTGCAATCTCTGCCTCCTGGGTTCAAACAATTCTCCTGCCTCTCAGCCTCCCAAGTAGCTGGGATTATAGGCGGGCACCACCACGCCCAGCTAGTTTTTGTATTTTCAGTAGAGACTGAATTATATCTTAATAAGGCTTTTCTTTTCAACGCACTGCCCCTTGAAGCCTGAGATTTTTATCTAGTGAGATATTGACACTTTTAGCCAAACTTCTCTTGGTAAACCTCATATACTGTACTTGACCCAGTATATAATAATTGTGAGATATTTTGGATGTTCGTCCCCACCCAGATCTCATGTTGAATTGTAATCCTCAGTGCTAGAGGTGGGGCCTGGTGGGAGGTTTTTGGGTCATGGGTGTGGATCCCACATGGCTTGGTGCTGTTTTCATGATAGTGAGTTCTCAGGAGATCTGCTCATTTAAAAGTGTATGGCACCTCCCCCTGCCAACTCTCTTGCTCCTGCTTTCACCATGTAAAACCCTGCTCCCACTTCACCTTCTGCCATGATTGCAAGCGTCCTGAGGCCTCTGCAGATGCTAATGCCAGAGCTATGCTTCCTGTACAGCCTGCAGAAGTGTGAGACAATTAAACCTCTTTTCTTTATAAATTACCCAATCTTGGGTATTTCTTTATAGCAATGCAAGAATGGCCTAATACAAGTTGGATTAGAATTTTTACATAAGCAATCATCTTGGATGTCCTGCTGAGCTGTATCTTTCTGGAGGCATTTATAAGAAAAAGTGAACACACACACACGTATTCCTAGACCTGATTCTTCCTCCAACTTTACATCAATTTCAAATTAATAGAACTATGATTTGTTGAGATGATTAGGAACCTTTGCAGGAAAACAACTTACTGAGCAATGCATGTTCCTTCTGATATTCTCATCAGCTTCATTTCCAAAGAAAAGGTGACTATTCTTTTCATGTGCTCTTCGCTTTGTTTTATTTTATTCTTTGATGCTAAAAATTAAAATGCCTTCAACTTTTGTGCCAATGTCTTTGTAGATTGTATCACTTGCCTTGCTTAGAGATAAAACATACCTGTGTCTCTGGTCTTGGGAAAATCTGAAAGCCCAGGGTTGCTCCCCAGAGCTAAGCTTTTATAGGCACATCTCCCTTTCACTGCCCTGGAAAATCATACTCAGGCCACCATCTCCCCCAGTCATAGGGGTTGCATCTTAATGCCTACAAATAGCCCGCCCTGTTGGATCCTCTTCCTTTGGGGGGTTTGGGATAAGAAGATGGGCACTTTCTCTCCCTTTGGAGGGAATAGAGGTAACAGCACAATTGATTTTTCAAAGATAATACACCTCCAAGAATCTTTCTTCCTCACCTCTCAAAGCTTCTAAAGTCTTAAAGCAAATAAAAGATTTCAATAATTGTGAAAAAAAAGTATTATTTCTTTTGAAAAACCCATGCATAGCAGATTCAGGATACTATTTCAGAATTTCTCATCTTTCTTGATACGTGGTTGGAACCTGAGTTTGGCATCATTGTGTGCATCTGTTTCTGCATGTTGATCTGTCTGTGCAGCTGGGAACGGGGGAGTGCAGACTGTGGGTGGGTTTCCATGGGGGTCTGTGTGAGCATAGGGCCCATAGACTGTGGAGGGACTTAGGAAAGGCAGGAAATGCTCCTTTTCAATTCCCCACCAACAGGGGACCTGTCAAATCCAGGGCAGTAATAAAATCCATCAAGTTGGAAGTTCTCCTTCAAGAGCCATGGAAATGTGAGTGAAGTATCTGTCTGATCCTCAGGGCAGTCCATCGTATATGATCTCATTATGCAGGACTCACAAGCCCTGTGTCCACTGCCAGACAGAGAGGTCCTACGGAGCAACAAAGGTGTTCTACTTCTTCATATTCTATTTTCTTTAGCCTCTACTTGGGCCCTAGCCCAGGAATAAATGCACAATGGATGCAGAGAGTGGAATAATAGCTTTGAATGAAAATATTCATCCAGAAAAAAAGAAAGATACCATAATCAATGAACTAAATATTCATGCCATGATGTTATTTTCAAAAACCAGCAAGTCGCAGAAAGTAACTTCTCTTAAAAGTAGAAAATACCGAAGGAAGAAAATAAGGACAGAAATATGTGAAATAGAAACGAAATATACAATAGAAAAAATCACCAAATGCAAAAGGTATTTCATTGAGCAGACTAATGAAATTGATTTGAATCTAGGAAGACTGATGAAGGAAAGTAAGAGAATGAATAAATTGCAAATATTGACAATGAAGATAGGGCATCATTAAAGATCCTATGCACATTTAAAATAAGAAATTTATAATATAAACAATATTATTTTTAAAGAAAAAAATTCAGGTAATAGCCAAATTCCTAGAAAACTACTGAGAATATATAATGAATCTGATACAAGAAGGAGAAAATTGGACTATATCTGTGTTTAATAAATGAAGTGCATGAATTTTCCTTAGAGCCTTATCTAAGCTAGCCCTAATTCCCTAATTATCTTCTATTATATCATCCAGTTTTATTTTTATAGCAGTTATCACTACCTAAAATTATATCATCGTCTATATATCTACTGCCTGTCTCCTTTCACAAAAATATAACTCTTTTTAGAGTCTTGGGACATTTTGGATATGCTTTATTGTTGATTTTAGGCAGTAGAGAAATCAGCTATATTTTTTATGGGCAGATAGTCTATTATATTTTTTAAATCTCCAGACTATGTGTTTATGTCATTATATTTATTATAAACATCTATTTAGAAGTATTTTATGTTGATCCTATTGAAAAATTAAGTAATAGGGGATGAGAGTCCTCTCTGTCTTGATCAACTCCACAATACTGGTATCTAGAGTAAGACTGACTCACATTAAGTACTCAAAAATAATGTTTAAACAAACAAAGGCACACAGGAAGAAATAAATGTATCCATATTGTAAATAATTTCACCATCTGAGAAATTTTTATGGCAAGAAATCTTGTTACCAGTATACAATGGTGACCACAAATATAGAAATGAGAAAATTCCACCCAAAGAGGTGACTTTCAGAGATTCTTTCTTCTCCCTCTCTTCTACATTTCTTGAAGTTTCCTTCCAAAATATTCTCTCGTAAATTTTTGAATATATTAGATTTTTTAATACTTCATGACATTAAGCCCCTTTCTCACCAGACTACTGGTGTCTCCAAGTCTGTCTCTGTCAGGAACACCTGGGAGTCCCAGTGAAAAGGGTCCTCACCAGCATCCCCCTGGCCTGTGAACTCACAGGATCAACAGTCAGAAGGTGACAGATGGAAGATGTGGCTTCCTGAGTTCTCCTGTAGGGCTGCACTTCATAAAGTCATAGGGGAAGGCTGCTAACATTGAGACGTTTTAGCGTCTATTCTGAACTGTGGTTCTCAGAATTCAGGACCAAAGTTGGGCTCTGTGTGTCAAGTTATCTGCATAGAAAAGCCATCCTGGTGTTCAATGAGGAAAGAAGAGAAATTAGCAAAAATATACGGTCAGGTCTTAGCATTAAGAATTGTATTCTCTCCCTACAAAGGCTACCTGAGAATATCCAGAGACTACAGAGGTCATCAAGTTGACGCATCAATGTTTACATGTAAGTCATCCAAGATTTATCTCACTAGTTTGTGAATACTATACCCCTACCCTTTTGTCTCTATTTTGCTTTAGAAATATTTCCAATAAACCAATTTATGAAGGAGGGTCCAGAGGAGGAAAAGGCCAACCTTCAGCACTGCATTCCATTTCTGGCCATATTCCCAGAAATTATAATTATAACCCAAAACAACAATCCACTCATTAACATCTGCAAAAAGCATGCAATTCAGGATGAAGTTTCTAAATTGCCTTCAGCCAGAGGACCCTCCAAACCACTTCATTGTCATGATCAACATGGAAAATCAACTTTCAGAGCAGTCAGAAGAATGTACATATTCTTTTCTAAATATTGCGAATATTTAAATATTTTATTGAATATCCTAATAGCATATTTTGAATGTTTTTTTTTCTGGAATACATTTGAGTATACAGAGTTTCATGATTTAGTCATAAACACTAAAAGAAAACAATTATGGCACTTGTCAAATAAATACATAGAACAATTACGCTAGTGGTTCACCAAATTCCACATTGAGAAGCATTTTTTTTTTTTTTTAGACGGAGTTTTGCTCTTGTTGCCCAGGCCGGAGTGCAATGGTGCAATCTCGGCTCACTGCAACCTCCGCCTCCTGGGTTCAAGCCATTCTCCTGCCTCAGCCTCCCGAGTAGCTGGGATTACAGGTATGTGCCACCATGCTCGGTTAATTTTATATTTTTAGTAGAGATGGGGTTTCTCCATGTTGGTCAGGCTGGTCTTGAACTCCCGACCTCAGGTGATCCGCCCACCTCAGCCTCCCGAGGAGCCTTTTAATTAGGAGAAGAAGAAGCCAAACATTGGTCTCCTGCCCTCCTTTAACTCCCCATCTCATGAACTAGATTTTGTTTCATGAGGGCACCAAAGAACTCTCATCTCAGTCCTTTCTTTATCAAGGGCTAACCTTGTTTTAGGGACTTAGTAGAGGGGTGCTAAGATTACAGCCTCTGAGGTTGAAGTGCCCTAAGTTCAAACATCAGCTCTTGTACTACTTAATATCTTTCTAAATTCAGCAGGTCATGGTGGCTCATGCCTGTAATCCCAGGACTTTAGGAAGCTGAGGCAGGCAAACCACTTGAGGCTGGGAGTTCAAGACCAGCCTGGCCAACATGGGGAAACCCCATCTTTACTGAAAATACAAAAATTAGCTGGGCATGGTGGTGCACACATGTAATCCCAGCTACCTGGGTGGCTGAGGCACTAGAATTGCTTGAACCTGGGAGGTGGAGGTTGCAGTAAGATGAGATTGCGCCACTGCACTCCAGCATGGGCAAGAGAGCGAGACTCTGTCTCAAAATAAATAAATAAATTCATACAATTCATGTTACCTCCTAACTATTCAATTTCCTCACCTGTAAAAGAGGCGTTGAACATATTGTACAGTGTAATTAGATTAGGATAAAATAATGTGGGCGAATCACTTGGCACTAAACAAAAGCTCAGTATATTCAAAAACTTACTATTTTTGTTTGTCTCCGCAATTCATGAAATTAGGAGCAAGTAAGTTTTGGGCTGCGATTTGGCTGTATGCTGTCTTATTGGGAAACGCCTGAAACATTTTTAAATACTTTATTGTTGGTTTTAGAAAGTGAGGAAATCAGATTTTTTTTTAAATGGGCAGATATTCCACAATATATTTTTAAATCTTTAAACTATGTGCTTATGTTATTGTATTTATTACAAATATTTTTAAATATTTTGTTTCTATTATTTTGAAAAATTAAGTAATAAATGAAGACATTTATGTCCCACTAGATTTGTTGGGATGGGAACTGAGCATGGGGGTTACTGAGAAGAGGTGCAATTTATTACACACGACTGACAACTTCCACTGGTCAACAGCCACACAAAGGCTCATCTAAGCTTGCCACTACGCCCTCCTTACTGCTGGCTCAGAAAGCCTGCTTCTACGAATCTGCTACTATTTATTATATTATTGTTTTATCGCTTGAAGAACAGAAAATGTAACCAATATTTGGAAAGACCTAACTGAAATAGATAACTATGGAAGCATGCCTTTCCCTTGTGTGTCCAGAAGCACCACGTATGGAGTCCACAGGACACAATCAGGGGTTAAATGAGAAAGACACATGTTAGATTTGGTGGTTTGACATGGAGTACTGAGCTGTCACGAAGATAATGGTGCATTAGATGCCGCATCATTGTGTTCTGAGAAAGTGGTCAGATGGATCAGGCCTGTGAGAAGAGAAATCTCTGGGCAGATCCTGTTTAAGTCTGGAATTATTCATTGTCCAACCAGAAATTCCAGGTCCTACTAACAATATGCTGCCTTCATGGATATCCAGAAGCCAAGTGGAAAGGGACTCATTTGCATTTAAATTAAATTTGAATAAATATTTTAGTAAAAATTTAAATAGAGACAACCACAGTCTTGCCTAGAGTTGTTCCTCTTTGGCAGGAGATGCAATAGAAATTGCTTATGTTATTGTGAGCTCTCTCCAGGCACCCAGAGAAGGGCAAGGGGACCCAGCCTCTGAAATAATGCATTTTCCACTGAACTACATTGTGAGATAGAATGAGTTCAGACTTTCCTTTCCTCTACTTTTTCAAACCAGAATGACAGATAACCCTATGTATTTTCTAGAAATTTCTCAAAATTCTAGAAATGACCTCAGTTAGAACAGAGCGAAATGTGGATCTAATGAAATTCAAGAGATGAGGAGGTGGAGGCAGACTACGAAAAGAACCAACAATTCAGTTTGTAGTTGAAGCCACCGACTAAGTGCCTGCTCCTGGAACACCAAGCTCATTTCCACTACCTGCTCACAAAAGGACAGGAGTGTTCTAATGTAGCAGAAAGAAAGCTTAACTTCAGGTTAGAGGGTGAGCATTTCAACACGAGGGCAGAGGAACTCTAGGGTGGGGTCTTGGTCAGGGAGGCCCTCTCTGGAATGGCTGTAACAGGGTCTAACCAGGACAGACAGCCAATCTGGTGACTGACAGCTTCTAGATGATTGGGACCTAAAGGATTTCCAGTCCAGAGGTGTGAGCTCAGGGCTGCCAAGTGTGCAGATGCAGGGCCAGGGCAGCCTCACTCACATCTGCAGCAGTCCATTCCCATGAATTCTATGTAAATGGAGCCCCCTGGAGTTGTGCTAGGTGTGGGTGAGGTCCCTGTTGGAAACCGAACATGGCATAGTCTGGCAATTTTGTCTGAGACAGTGGCAGTTAAGTATCTTTGTCAACCTTCCTTCCAGCTCTGTACGATCAATACTTCTCAATTTCCTAAATTCTAAATACTCAAGTTTTCCCCATAAACTGGGTCTTCAATCATTACATCTTTACTTAAAAAGATCCCCTCTCTCAGGGAAAATGTATGTTCACCATTATTGATGGAAAAAGTCAAACTCTGTAAAATATTTAAAGAGGTTCATTCTGAGCCAAATATGAGCGACCATGGCTGGCTCAAGGCATGGTATCAAGAGTTCCTGAGAATATGTGCCCAAGGTGATTGGGGTATAGCTTCGTTTTATACATTTTAGGGAGACAAAAGACATTAGTCACTACATGTACGGTTTACATCGGTTTGGTCCAGAAAGGCAGGACAACTCAAAGTGGGGACCTGGGGATCATAGGTGGATTCGAAGATTTCCTGATTGGCAACTGGTTGAAACAGTTATTATCTAAAGATCTGGAATTAATACAAAAGAGTGTCTGACTGAAGATAAGGGGTTGTGGAGACCAAGGTTCTTATTATGTAGATGAAGTCTCATAGGTAGCTATGCTTTGAGGCAATAGATGGCAAATGTTTCCTATCCAGACCTTTAAAATGTTCTGGACTCTCTGGAAAAGACCTAGTAAAGAAAGAGAATTTGCTACAGAATGCAAATATCCCTCATAAGAGACAACTGTGCAGGGCCATTCTAAAACATGTCAAATAAATACATTTTGGGGTAAAATACTTTGATTTCCCTCAGAGCCTGCTATCTGTCATGTGATATATGACAGATAGGGTTGGAATTTGGTAACTTAATGTTACAGAGAGTCTGCTCTGTCAGTCTTGAGATCTCTGTTTTAATGTTAATGCTGGTCAATTGTACCTGAACTTCAAAGGGAGGAAGGTGTAACCAGGTATGTCCAACCCACCACCTCCCAGCCATGGCCTGAACTGGTTTTGCAGATTTCTTCGGAATCCCCTTGGCCAAGAGGGAGCCCCTCCAGTTGGTTGAGGGGCTTAGAATTTTATTTTCGGTTTTCACCCCTCATGTTTGTTCATACTGGGGTCTATTTCTCAAATATGTCGATGCTCCTGAAAGTCAAATGATAGGAATATGACAAATAGCTGTGTATTTGATGAGGTGGTGTTTCAGATGGCATGGATTTTTCAAATTTTCCATGTAGACGAAATGGCTAGCAATGTGAGTCTTCATGTTTCCATTTTGAAATGAAGATATGTGCCTGGCACATACTGTAAAATCAATAAAATTCTGTTGAATAAATTTGGAAAGAGGTTTATAAACATTCCGAAGAAAGCTGAATTTTCCTGAAATAATCCCTATTTCAGTTCCAAGGGCTTTATGCATTAAAAATATCAAATATTCTTCTATTTTTTTCCATTACAGCTCACACAAATGCACATGTGTTCTGAGAATCAAAGGGTCAGCCTTGGACACGTCTGGCATATCAAATAAAGGGTTTCTCTGTAATTTTTGAAGAGATCCAATATAATTTGTGCTCAAATGTTCTGAAATGTTCATGAATGACTTAACTTGTGGCTGACTCTAGAATTGTTACGTCTTCCATGAAAAGTGTTGGTCACACACGTAGAATCTACTGCCTGCTCAGGCCTGCCTAGCTAAGCCATAATATTTTCCAGGGATTCACTTCTCACCATCACAGCCTTGGACGGGACAGGTCTGCTTGACCCTGGAGTATTCTAGTTCCCTTGCACTCATTGGTTCAGGAATGTGTAAACCTATGAACTTACTCAGATGAACAAGATATAAGGAGAATTTCACTAGGGGAATTCTAGTAAAAAGCTTTGCTCTTCTAAAAAAAAGATGTAGGAAGCTACCTGCTGTCTTCTTTACGAGGAGCTTCCTACCTCATTTGATGGCACTTGGAATTTCAGGTGCTACCTTACCACTAGTCTAAGGAAGAAGCCATTCTGAGGAGGATGGCCATGCAGAGAGATGAATGGAACCTGGGACAAGTTGACATTGCTGAGCTGTTTACTTTGCCAACTCAGCACCCCCACTCCCCGCCACTGGATCTTCGGGCTTTCTAAGAGAGAGAATAAGACCCTTCATTGCAGAAGTCTGATGAGCCAGGATTTTCTGTAGCTACAGCTGAAAACATTGAAATGATACAACTTATTTGTAAATGGCCATGTTTTACAGAAAATTAATTGTATTAGAAAAATTCATTTTCTCCTCAGAAGACCATGAACTTCTTGAGGGCAGAGATTGTATTTTGTGATTTAATGATGCTCAGAACTAGGCACAGTGAGTCCTTTTGAAGTTGTTTTGTTTAGTTTTGTTTTCATTACATTTTGGGATAACTCGTGGTATTCTTAAGGCCACCTCTGCAAGTATACTATAGCAATTTTCTCTGCTTTGCACTCTGAAGACCATAAAGGTGAATAAGATTTGAATATATCCCTAGATAGCTTTAAATATAGTAGAAGAGGCAGATGTACACACAAGGTATAATCCATGGAAAAATAGGAAATAGGAAGACCATTATGATATTTATTTTCTATCAAGCAGAATTGAGTTCATCTACAAGTAACGGTGAAATTAATCATAATGGATTAAACATTAGAGATTGTTTTTCCTCATGTGACAGCATTTCTAGAGGTTACTGGAGTTAGTACAGAAGTTTAGAGGAATCAAGAGAATGTTTTGGAAGAGTTAGTACAGCAGTTTAGAGGAATCAAGAGAATGTTTTGGAATCCTTTGGCTTTTTCCTTATCATTGAAAAATGACCACTGTATCTCAAGCCATCACATCCTAATCAACACAAAAATATCTGAAAGAGATGATGCCAGCCATATCTCTCCTATTATCCATAAACAAAAGTTTGGCAAGAAATGCCTCACAGTGATTTATATGTAGACTTGTAATTTAACTTAGGTCAAACAATCACTCTCATCTCAAGCAATTTTAAGCTTGAGAAGTAAAGGGGATTGAGTATCAAATAGACAGCTATTACAGAATGCCACTTACCTGATGTATGACTTGAGCTGGAGCCTGGAAATAGTTGAGGCTGGAGAGGGAGGTAGAACAAGATTATGAGGCTGTGGCTGGGCTGGGTAGCTTTGTCTATTCTCCAAGAGCAAAGGGGAAGAACATGGCCCCATGATGGCACGCGCTGAGCATACTCAAAGACTGTGAGAAGGAAAGAGGATTTAATTTCATTTAAACATGATCACTTGACAAGATGTCCATACTATGATATCTAAAGTAGGTTTTATATATTTTGTCTTGGAACTTGTCTTAGACATTTAGGTATTGAAAACACTGAGATGAAGAAGACAGAGAATTGCTTCATGCTTTTATTTCACCCACAAAAAGGAAGTTGTTGACTAAAGTTGCTCTCCTCTGGAGGAATAAATTATAAATGGGATTTAAGTTTTCATTAGTAGCATATTATTGGGTAGCTATGTTGAGGTAAAGAACTTCAAGTTTAACCAGGACATTCTCTGAATTTCCCAAAATATCAATTTTAAACATAACTCACTGTTACTAATGTTTGAAAATGCAACTTCACAAATTAATTGGGATATAATTCATAGACCATACAACCGTTCATTTAAAGGGTACAATTAAATGGTTTTATTAGGTTCACAGCTACCAGAAAAATCTGATTTTAGAACATTTTCACCCTGCAAGAAGAAACTCTGTGCCCACTGCCAGCCACTCCCATGACCCTCCATCTCCACCCTCCGGGTGCTAAGTAACGACTAATTTACATTTCATCTCTATAATTTTGCCTGTTCTTGACGTTTCATACAAATAAAATCACATAACATATGATGATCTCTTGGGACAGGATCCTCTCATTTACCATAATGTTGTTAAGGTTCACCCTTGCTGTAGCATGAGTCAGTACTTCATTTTTTTTAATGGATGAGTGCTATGCTATTGTCTAGATAGACCATAGTTTGTTTATGCATTCAAGTGGACAGACGTTTGGGTTGTTTTCATTCCATGATTATTATGACTATATTGCTCTGAAAATTCCTGTACAAGCTTTTGTGTGCACACATTTTCATCCTTCTTAAGTATATACCTACGTGTGGAATTGCTGGGTCATTTAGCAACTATGTTTAGCTTTTTGAAGAACATCCAACTGTTTTCCAAAGGGGTTGCATTATTTTATATTCTCACCAGGAATTATGAAGCTTTCCATTTCTCCACATCCTCATCAACATTAGTTATTACTTGTCTTTTAATTACAGCCACCCTAGTAGTTGTGAAGTATAACCTTACTGTGGTTTTGATTTACATTTCCCTCATGGCTAACGACGTTGAGCATCTCTTCCTTTGCTAACTATCCATCTGTGTACTTTTTTCAAAGAAAAATACCTTTTCAAATACTTTGTTGGAGAATGACATTCACTGGGGCAGGAGGCAGAGGTGAATGAGGCTAGAGATGGAAAGAGCTACACCCACATCTGAGCTTCATAGGATCTGTCATGTTTTGTCCATTTCAGGTATTCTCACTGGTGACTTACACTCTAGAAATTACTGAGGACCCCAAAGATGTTTTGTTTCTATGCCTCAGATGCATCTATATTTAATACATTATTGCAATAATGTAATTTATTATTGTGATGTTAATATATAATATTAATACAATATTAAACATTGAGATATTTAAAATATTTCATTTAAAAATAACAAAAACCAATTAAAGGTGAATATACATAAAATATTTTTATGAAAAAATATATTTTTCAAAAGAAAATTACTCTGAGGATAGCAGCATTGTACTATATTTTTGCAATTATGCATAATGTTTTCTTTAATAGAAGACAGCAGGAATCTCATCTCTCCTTCTGCATTCCATTTGAGACAAGATGTTTGAATTGAAGCAAATAAGAAACATACAAAAAAATGACATAAGTAAAGAAGCTATGGCCTCACCCCGATATGTTGCTGGCAGGAGAGACAACAGCAAACACAGGAAACTCAAGGAAAATCAGTGTGGCTAGAGACAGATGCTGAACTGGAGCCTGGAATGAGTTGAGGCTGGAGAGGGAGGTAGGGCAAGACTCAGGCTGTGGCTGGGCTGAGTGGCTTTGTCTATTCTCCAAGAGCAAAGGGAAGAACATGGTCCCATGACAGCACACTCTGGGAAAATGAGACTTCTGAATTGGGGACCTTGAAACAGGAGGGCCCACATTACCAGCCGTGTAGGAAGCATCTGTTCAGCAGCAGAATGCGAAGAGGATGGTGGGGGGCACTGCCTCCCTGTGTAACCATAATGGGTCCCTTACCCAAAATATGCAGCAAATCAACACCTGGAGGCACGGGGTTGCAGCAGAGAAAGAGCTTTAATCGTAAGGCCACCGAAGGAGGACATGGGAGGAAACCTCAAATCCATCTCCGCCAGGAATTCGGGGCTAAGGTTTGAAGAGATTTGGAGTGGGCTGAAGGGTGGAAATTGTTGATTGGTTGGAGCACAGGGTGAAGTCATGGGCCAGAGAGAGGAAGAAGTTGTATTTTCATGCCGATCTCATTCCTCTGTGGGGGCCTACACACTAGTTGCTAGAATGTGTGGTCTGAAAAACATCCTAAGCAATCCTTAAACAAAAGCCCCATGAGCTGATTGTCAGAGGTCCTGTCGACAGGAGCAATGGGAATGCAAGTCAATCCTTCAACAGTCTCATGACCCTGTGTCCTAAATCCTGTCTGTAGGAACAACAGGGAAGCACCTGGTGAGGACCTGGTGCTACCGGGCTTCTAGCAACAAGGAAGGAGCCAGAGTGCAGCCAGATGCATCCTTAACCATAACTCTATTTCTGTCCAAAACCTTGTATACAATTCTTATCAATCCTGGGGGGATGGTTTCACCCAGGGCCTGACATGGGAAAGGCTGCTGAGGTCAACAGAGACAGCAGCGGAAGCCCTGGCAGTGGTGGAAGTCACCATGGGTGGCTGAGAGGCGTCCCACTCCAAGTTCTGTGCTGAGTGCACATTGCAGTTTGGTTTTTGCGGGGAAGGAGATTCTGAAATTTGAGTTTAGCATGCAAGACATTTATTTGGGAGTGTCCTTGATATAAACATCTATGGGAGAAGGGGGAGAAAGCTGGCAGAGACGGAGGTTGAGCTTGGAGGTGGTCCTGGCGGCCTCAGCCCATTCTGTTGGTGCTCAGGAGCCCACATGGCCTGTCAGAGCTGTGCTCCATCGGGTCAGGCATTTACTCCTCAGCAATGGTAACCACCCAAGGGGTTCACCTTGCCCTCTGCCTAAACAGAGTGGATTCATCAAGACAGGGGAATTGCAACAAAGAAAGAGTAATTCACGCAGAGCCAGCTGTGCAGGAGACCAGAGTTTTACCATTACTCAAATCAGTCTCCCCGAGCATTCAGGGAGTAGAGTTTTTAAGGACAACTTGCTGGGTTGGGGGAAGTCAGTGAGCCAGGAGTGCTGATTGGTCAGAGATAAAATCACAGGGAGTCGAGGCTGTCGTCTTGCACTGAGTCAGTTCCTGGGTGGGGGTCACAAGATCATATGGGCCAGTTTATCCATCTGGGTGGTGCCAGCTGACTCATCAAGTGCAGGGTCTGCAAAACGTCTCAAGCCCTGATCTTAGGGGCAGCTTAGGGAGGGTCAGAATCTTGTAGCCTCCAGCTGCATGACTCCCAAACCATAATTTCTAATCCTGTGGCTAATGTTAGTCCTACAAAGGCAATCTAGTCCCCAGGCAAGAAGGAGGTCTGCTTTGGGAAAGGGCTGTTCCCATCTTTGTTTACACTATAAACTTTGTTTAAACTATATAAAACTATAAACTTTGTTTAAACTATAAACTAAGTTTCTCCCAAGGTTAGTTCAGCCTAAGCCTAGGAATGAACAAGAACAGCTTGGAGGTTAGAAGCAAGATAGAGTCGATTAAGTTAGGTCTCAGTCATAATTTTGCAAAGGCTGTTTCACGATTATTACTATTATTGGTTATGAGCCACCCCTAAAACGGCATGACCTTCATGGGAAAGATTTTCTGCACTGGCAACAATGCGGCCGAGATTTGAGGGCTGTGTTCCGGTCATTTGTGACCCCCTGTCACCATGGTGTTTTAAATAGTTGGTCTCATTTGCTCTTCATATCAACCCTACGAAGCAGTGACCTTATTTTCCTCTTCGACAGGTGAACAAACAGACGCATAATAGCTCTTGAGCTTGCCATTGGGAAGTGAAAATCAACTGCTTGAATAAATGTAAGGACTCAGGTAAGATACATGGGTATAGACCAAGACAGCCCTAATGTTCCTCTCAGCTTAACTCTTCTTGCTGCCACCAGCTCCCTGGTTTCCCTATTCTTAGAGCATTTACTTCAGAAGACTTGCCTTTGCGGCTCTTTCTCTGCCCCTTGGAGAGGGAAATCTGCTCCAAATCCTCCTGCCAGTGCTAAAAACCTGACCTGTCTTTCTCAAGGACCTGGGAGACATTCATTTGAAATGTAGACATCCAGGAACATGGGCTGCCCTATCTCCCCATCTCTGTGGGAGGGAAGTTGCCTAACTTCAGCGGGAGTCTTGCTCCAAATGTTAAAACTCCCTCTTGTCATAAAGATACGAGAAAGTTCACTTTTCCTTTGGGGAAAGCTGATTCACCAAGACGGATGGCCTACAATTCCCTGACCCCAGGTCTTCACATGTGCGCGCACGCGCGCGCGCACACACACACACACACACACACACACACACACTTTCTTCAGAGGAGCTGTGCTCAAACTGAGTTCTGGTCTCTTTACCGTATTGCAGTAGCTTTGAATGAAGCCTTCCTTAACTTTGCCCAGTGCAATTTGGTTTTGACAGTTCCGTTCAAAACCGTGGGCTAGAAGATACAGTGGAATCAGGTTTAGAAACTCTAATGCATGGGTGAATGAGATAGGCAAGGAGAATTTGGCCATATACAAGATGGAATGGGGAAGATGCTGGAAGGTGGAGACCCCACTAGGGGAGTGAATAGTGTCCCCGCAAAATTACATCTAACATCCAACTCCTGGCACCTGTGAGCCTTATTTTGGAACTAGGATTTTTGCAGGTGTAATTGAGTTAAGGATCTTGAGATCATACCATCCTTGATTTAGGGTGGGCCCTAAATCCAAATAGTGGTGTCCTTATAAAATAAAGGAGCGGAAGATATGAGACACAGGGAAGGAGGCCTGTGAAGACAGAGGTGGAGATGAGAGTGAAGCTGCCACCAGAAGAGGCAGGAAGACCTGGAGGCAGCACAGGCAAGGGAGGATCCTCCCCTAGAGCCTTCAGAGGGAGTGCGACTCTGCCGGGGAAACTTCCGGCTTCCTGTACTGTGAGAGAATCAACCTGTATTGTTTCTGGCCGTTAAGTTTGTTGTGTCTGCCTCAGGAAATGAAGGCACCCATCTAAAAGCTCCATGGTTGTTACTCTGAAGAAATGTGGTAGTAGATCCCTTAGATTTGCCAGAAAGTGCCAGAAATCTGTCATTTGCTGTCAGATCCTTTTATTTTTAATTTCATTTTTTAAATTCTTAATTTTTATTTTTTATATTTTATTATTTATTTATTTATTTTCAGACAGAGTCTCACTCTGTCAACCAGGCTGGAGTGCAGTGGCAGGATCTCAGCTCACTGCAATCTCCGCCTCCCAGGCTCAAGTGATGCTCCCACCTCAGCCTCCTGAGTGTCTGAGAACAGGCACTCCCCACCACACCAGGCTAATTTTTTGTATTTTTGGTAGAGAGGGGATTTCACCATGTTGCCCAGGCTGGTCTTGAACTCCTGAGCTCAGCAATCCACCTACCTCAGCCTTCCAAAGTGCTGGGATTACAGGCTTGGGCCGTTACACCTGGCCTTAGATCCTTTTATTTTTAAATGTCAGCAAACAACTGATTTTTTTCCCTCAGTTCTTTGCAGGCCAGCGTGTAAGGGGGAAAGCAGGTAAGAAACAAGTCTCCGGGGGCAAGCACAGGCTCCAAGTAGCACATTAAGAACCTAGATTTGATTTCGAATTTGAGCTGCATGGAATTGTTCCAGGTGAGTGGTGAGTTCTGCCTGATGGGGTGGCAGTTGTTGGTCCTGAATATTTTTACTGTCCTAATTCAAGGCCAGAGGAACCATCTTTTTTTTTTTTTTTTTTTTGACAGTGTCTCGCTCTGTCCCCCAGGCTGGAGTGCAGTGGCGCGATCTCGGCTCACTGCAAGCTCCGCCTCCCGGGTTCACGCCATTCTCCTGCCTCAGCCTCCCGAGTAGCTGGGACTACAGGTGCCCGCCAACACACCCGGCTAATTTTTTTTGTATTTTTAGTAGAGACGGGGTTTCACCGTGTTAGCCAGTATGGTCTCAATCTCCTGACCTTGTGATCCGCTCATCTCAGCCTCCCAAAGTGCTGGGATTACAGGCATAAGCCACCCCGCCCGGTGGGACCATCTTTTGCTACTTCAGACATGGACCTATGTCTCAGCCTAGAAGTGTGGAAGAATGAACCTGGATCGTTGAGTAGAAGGCACATCACGCAAAACACTGAAACTGCCTTTGCAAAAATCAGGGTAGTGAGAGAAGGTCTTGCATGACTGACTCCATCTTGCCTCAAGCCTCACAAGCCAGCTATCTTCACTCATTCCTGAGCACAGGCCAAGCTAACCATGGGAGGAATTTATAGTTTAACTTAGAGCAAGGATGACAATAGTCCCTTCCTAAAACTAATTCCTCCTTGCTCAGGGACCAAAAACTAATGAAAGGCCTCAAGATGAGGATCATGGGAGGAGTCTGAATTCTGCTAAAATGTAGGCAGTTTCTATCATCCTTACTACTCAGGAGTCATGTGGCCAGAGGTCACAAGATTTGAGCCTTCCCCAGTTGCTCCTATGGATAACATCACTACTGTAGAACCTAAGATTGGTCTCTTGAGATGTTTTTCAGACCTCTGCATTCTGGCAATCAACTGACCTCACCTGGAATCACGAGTCATGACTGAACCGGTCCTGTGGCCCCACCTGGGGATAAACTCAGCACACAAGGATCATTTTCCACACCTCTATGATTTCATAGGCAACCAATCAACGGCACCCATTTTTTAGCCTCCTGCTCGCCAAAGCATCTTTGAAAAATCCTAACCTCCAAGCCTTCGGGGAGACTGATTTGAGTAATAACTCTGTTCCCTGCATGGCTGGTCTAGTGTCAATTAAACTCTTTCTTTACTGCCATACCATAGTCTCAGCGAATTGGTTTTGTCTGTGCAATGGGCAGGAAGAACGTGTCTGGTGAGCATCTCCACACATTCAGAAATTGTCCATCTAAGACAATGGAGTTATTTTCACCCTCAACAAATGCCTCAACTCTGTGACATTTTAAGCAAATCTTAACTTTGACTTATGAATTCAAGAAGGAAAAAAAAAAAGTAAGAAAATGTTGATTGTAATATTTCCTCTGAACGTCCTTCCCCTGGGGACAGGCTCCCTTGCTGTTGTGTGGTCACTGTTCCCATTAACCTAACGAAATCTACACTTGCAAATGAAGTCCTGGGGTCCACACTAAATGTTCACAGTCTGGCCACATGCTAATATTCCATGTGCTAGCCCATATCTTTAAATAGACTCATGGAAATGTGTTAAATGATATAACAGAATAAAAATCAAGCTTAACTTAAAGATGAGTCTTTTTTTTTCTATATGAGGAAATAAAGCAACTGAACATTTCTTTGCACTTTATGTTAAATTAAATGCTAACATGTACAGAAAAAAGAAAAAATGCACTCTGATGATGAAGGGACTGAGTCAAATTCACAACCAGGGTCTTTTTTTTTTTTTTTTTGAGACAGAGTCTCACTCTGTCGCCCAGGCTGGAGTGCAGCGGTGTGATCTCGGCTCACTGAAACCTCTGCCTCCCGGGTTCAAGCGATTCTCCTGCCTCAGCCTCCCGAGTAGGTGGGGCTATAGGCACGTGCCTGTAGTACATGCAGTATAGTACTGGCATGCCTGGCTATTTTTTGTATTTTTAGTAGAGACAGGGTTTCACCGTGTTAGCCAGGATGGTCTCGATCTCCAGCCAGGGTCGTTTTAGTGAATGAGAACTGTGAATCGGAACCCACAAAAAACATTTTTAGCAATCAGTTGGCTTTATTTTATTTGAAGATAATCTCAGCCATTTGCTTTGCATTGGAATTCATTTTGTTTTGATCTGTTTTGCTAACAAATCAGGCATTCAGTTTTGCGCACCACAGGGGCAGGCAGCATACGTGTTTTCTAAACCAGTGTCTACCCATTGCTTTGCAGAACACCAGACATGGGTGCTCCAATCCACGTAGTGTTGAGGCAGTGAAGTTTGTGTTCCAGGAACTTCAGAACTCCTGAATGTATTGGTGTTGATAAAAGGTGATGAGATGAAGTAGAATGACCATAAACTTAGAGGTTGGTAACATGTGTCCTAGCCCCTTGTCTGCGGTAAATCTCAGGAAAACAATACGCCCTTCTTAGGTTTCATTATCTCATCTGTAAATGAAACTGTTAGACAAAGTCAGCACAGAGGACACATGCTTTGGCTGGAATGTGAGATAATTTTAGGTGTCATCACTCTTAATGTTAAATAATATGGCTGGGCACGGTGGCTCACGCCTGTAATCCCAGCACTTTGGTAGGCCGAGGTGGGTAGATCACGAGGTCAAGAGACCCAGACCATCCTGGCTAACATGGTGAAACCTCATCTCTACTAAAAATACAAAAATTAGAGCACGGTTGTAATCCCAGCTACTCAGGAGGCTGCGACAGGAGAATCTCTTGAACCCGGGAGGCGGAGGTTGCAGTGAGCTGAGGTCACGCCACTGCACTCTAGCCTGGCGACAGAGCGAGACTCCGTCTCTAAACAACCAAAAATGTTAAATGATATTATGAGGAATCATTTCCCATTAGCATCTTCTTTTATCCTTCTGGTGATACGAAAGGATCATCTTTTCTGTAATAGCATTTTTTCACACTTTTTGAGCTCCTATTTAAAACAGCAAATCCATGTTCAGAATTTTGGAGGTATGATTATGTAGGTAGAGCACTATAAAATTGTTCATCTTTATTATATTTATTTTTATGGCAAGATGTAGTGATTTTTTTTCACTTAGAGTTCAAGAAAAGGTTCGTTTTTAAGTAGATGAATTTAAACACAACAGTGTGTCAATTTATAGACAAATACTGAGAAACAGCATAGGTAGAACTCAGGAGCGGCAATATTTGCTGGTAGTGCATAAGTCAGTGATATTCATGGGACCCTGCATGCTGGTGTGTCCGGACCCTTGTCATCTTAAAATTGAACCTCTCTGTCTACTGTGTATTCACCTTTCTTTCTAAAAGTGCTGTAGTTTTCTTGGAAGTGGAAAAATAAATATACCTAAACACACACACAAACAAAAACTGCGTGGATCAATTTCTCTTACAGGTAGACATCACCTTGTGACTCAACAGCAGCCAATAAGATGGAAATAAAGGCCATGAAGTTATCGGATGGCATCTACAAGGAATACTTAGATGAGGAGGTGACTCTGGTAGCAATTGTTCTTTTGTCTTTCTCACCTTCCTTCTTGTCCTGTCTGGGATGCTGAAGTGATGGCTGGTATACAGATGCCCTGTTGTGATGTTGAGATAAACATGAGAATAAAAGTCGGCGATTACAGATGGCAGAGAAGAGAGAGAAAGATAGGATGTAGGTGGATATTGACGGAACTAAGTTTCTATTGCACAAGTTCTACCACCAACCTCTGGACTTCATGATATGTGAGGGAGAAATAAACTCCTATTTTAGAAGAGATCTATGTTACCTGCAACTGAACGGAATGCTTAATTGGCACATCCTATGTGCTCCAAACCTTCCTTAATTTCTGTGTGTAAGGCATACTTAGTCTTTACCCATTATTCTGTTCACATTCATTCACTTGATCAGCCTCCCAACTCTATGGTAAAGAGTTTACTACAGTTTACTCTATTAGTAAGGGAGATTCTGGAGCAAGCCCCACAAATCATAGATTGAATACCCATTCATTAAGAGAGAGATTTAAAGATACTTCTATCCAAACACATTTTAAATTTCCAGCACCTTTGAGGTGGTGGAGGTTCATGGTGGTTGATAGGGTTTAAATGACTTGTGATTCAAGCTCCATATTACAATGTAACAGTGCAAAAGTTCATTTTTTTAAATTTATTTTACTTTAAGTTCTGGTATACATGTGTAGAACATGCGGGTTTGTTACATAGGTATACATGTGCCATGGTGGTTTGCTGCACCTATCAAACCGTCACCTAGGTTTTAAGAACCACATGCATTAGGTATTTGACCTAATGCTCTCCCTCATGTTGCCCCCCAACTCCCTGACAGGGCCCAGTGTGTGATGTTCCCCTCCCTGTGTCCATGTGTTCTCATTGTTCAACTCCCACTTATGAGTGAGAACATGTGGTGTTTGATTTTCTGTTCCTGTGTTAGTTTGCTGAGAATGATGGCTTCCAGCTTCATCCATGTCCCTGCAAAGGACACGAACTCATTCTTTTTTATGGCTTCATAATATTCCATGAGTCTGGATTTGGTTACAGATAGAGCTGGACAAGCCTTAGCTATATCTAATGGCTTTTGACATGTTATATCAATTTCTTACTGCTTTTGTAAATGAATATATTAAGAAGAAAAAATTACAAATGACCCTTTCTTCACAAACTTTTAGGGTAATCAAGTTCAGTTATTAAAAAATGGATGTTTGCAACATTCATAGTAATTATTTTCAGAAAATTAAAAATGATTAAAAATTATATTTTCATCCCATTCAGATATTATATATTTAACTGTGAGATAATTCTCAGAGATAAATGTCAACTTTTAAAAAATGCTAAATAAATTAAATCAAAATATCCCCTCTAAAATAAATAAATTAGCTCCGATTATTTCTTCTTTTTAAATTTTTCCTTATAGTTGTAAAAATAAAGTGAACGTTTTGGCTCATTTCCTCATTAAAGTTTGAATTTTCCAGTCACCAGTGTTTTGTTCTTTCTTACAAATGTTTATGTGCCTGGAATGAGAACATTACCCTGTAGAATATTTGGTGGTAGAAGTCCTTCCAATGAGGGAGCAAGCAGGATGCCAGCTTAGAATGATTATATAGGCAATAAACTCAAATGTTAATAGGTGTCGAGGAAAGCAGTGTGAGTGGGTTTGGGAGGTTGATCATAAGGCAATAGGGAATGGTGAGGACTGTGGCAAATGAGGGAGCTTCTGCTCTGCCTAATGTGGGGCACCCAGGACACAACTCCAGAGGCTTCTTTTTTGTGACGTCTTTCAATATGTAGGGAAAAGTGGGAAAAAAATCTTGTTTTTTAAACACTGTCATAACAGCAACATAAAATACACTTCTATGACCTATATCCCATCTGTGTGTCTGCACGGGACTCAGTGACCTCAGTCTCTTAGGACTAGTGAATAATAAGAGATGTCAGAAAAGAATGGGATGGGGATAAGTAGAAGTTGACTTCTAGTCTCAGAAGAATAAAAAAGACAAAGAGATGGGATCCCATCTTTCAATGTACCTTCCGTCTTTGAAGTGAGTCTAATAGCTGGAATACAGAATGACTTAAAGCTAATAAAAGTTAGAATGTTATTAATGCAATTTTTAATTGTTACCAGAAAATAATGCAATTCTTAGTTATCACCAACCTTCCAATATAAGAATATTTCTCCTAATTTTCTTCCTCTCTGCCCTTCTTCACTAAACATAAACCCAGAACCATGAAAGTCAATTCCTTCTCCCTGGCACTGCTACTCAAGACCCATATTAAGTATTCAAGTCTTCTAAATTATTTTACTCTCCATACAAAGAAAATAGCATGAGTATTTATAAGTGAGGACAACTCCCAATATACATGAGAGAACTCTAACTCAACTTAACCATAAAGATACATCTTTTTTCACCTAACAAGAAGTCAAGTAGGAATGGCTTTGGGGGAAGTTGATCCAAGGGCTAAATATTGTACCCAAGGCCCCAAGTTCTTTCCATCTGTCTGATCCTTCATTCTTGCTGATGACTTTGTCCTCACAAGGGCTGCAAATGGCTGTAGCAATCCCAAGTGTCTCATTCAGACGTAATAGCAGGCATAAGAAATGACCACTTCATCCTGTGTCTCTTTCTTAGGAATCTGGACATTTCTCTCCCGGATACCCACAAACAGAACTTCCTTGTCATTGGCCAAAATTGGGTCACATAACCATTTACACCCTCACTGGAAATGAGGATAGAATTAGCCCATTCCTCGAGTTGGAGTGAATTCAGATTCTCCTGGGGTACATGCTGTATGTAGAAAGAGTAGATGTCTTAACCAAATCATAATTCAGAACAGTTGGTGGATAGGTAACCAAAGTGTGTATAGGATTATTGTCACAATTTTGGGTTCTATCTTCTAGTCTCCTGTTTTCCAGTTCTTACAAGCCAACCAGATTGACCATGCCAGCTCATTCTTGTTTCTTGATTTCACTCAAAACAAGAAAACCTAGAGATTCTACTTGAAGCCAAACAATAGCAACATAAAAGAAAAGTACCAAAAAATAAGTCTTGCAAAAATCCAAAACGCTGACAACACCAAATGCTGCCGAGGAGGTGGAGAAACAGGAAGTCTCCTTCATTGTTGATGGGAATGCAAAATAGTATATTCACCTTGGAAGACAGTTTTGCAGTCTCAAAAAACTAAACGTATGCTTACTATACAATCTAGCATTCACGCTCCATAGCATTTACCCAAAGAAACTGAAAACCTGTGTCCACACAAAAACCTACTCATGAATGTTTATAGCAGCTTTATTCATAATTAACAAAATTTGGGATGTCTTTCAATAAGTAATGGATACGTAAACAGATATATCCGGACAATAGGATATTATTCGGCTTTACAAAGACATGAGCTATCAAGTCCTGAAAAGCTACTAAAGAACTTTAAATGTGTATTTAAAGAAGCCAATCACACAAGGCTACAACCCATATGATTCCAACTATGTAACTTTCTAGAAAAGGCAAATTAAAAAGATAAGTGGTTTCCAGAGACTGGGAAAATGTACAGTTAAGTGTATGGAGCACAGAAGATTTTTAGAGCAGTGAAACTACTCTGTATGATAATATAATGGAGGGTACAAGTCATTATATACTTGTCAAAACCCGCAGAATGAACAACACCAAGGGTTACTGATGTAAGCTGTGGCTTTGGGTGATAAGAATGTATCAGTGCTGGTTCATCAATTGTAACAAATGTACCACAATCGTAACAAACAATTATAGAGACGTTGATAGTCCAGCAGGTCATATCGGAACATAGGTTGGGGCAGGAGGTATGCAGGAGTTTTCTGTCCATTCTCCTCAATGGGCTCTGAATTTAAAATGGCCCTAAAAATAAAGTATTTTTAATTTTTTTTTCATTCTGACTTTTTTTTAAGTTCAGTGGTACATGTGCAAGTTTATTATATAGGTAAACCTGTGTCACAGGAGTTGGTTGTACAGATTATTTCATCTAGGTATGCCTGTTTCACCCAGGTATTAAGCCTAGCACCCATTAGTTATTCTTCTTGGTCCTCTCCCTCCTTCCACCCTGCACCCTCTGGTAGGACCCTGTGGCTGTTTTTTCCCTCTATGTGTCCATGGGTTCTCATTATTTAGCTCCCATTTATAAGTGAGAACATACTGTATTTGGTTTTCTGTTTCTGTGTTAGTTTGCTAAGGATAATGGCCTGCAGCTCCATCCATGTTCCTGCAAAGGACATGATCCTGTTCTTTTTTACGGCTGCATGGTACTGCATGGTATATATGTACATTTCTTTATCTAGTCTACCACCGATGGGCATCTCGGTTGATTCCATGTCTTTGCTATTGTGAGTAGTGCTGCAACGAACATTAGCATGTTGTGTGTCTTTAAGATTAGAATAACTTATATTCCTTTGGGTATATACTCAGGAATGGGACTGCTGGGTAGAATGGTAGTTCTGTTTTTAGGTTTTTGAGGAATTGCCACACCGGTTTCCACAATGGTTGAGGTAATTTACACTCCCACCAACAGTGTTTAAGTGTTCTTCTGTCTCTCCAATCTCACCAGCACCTGTTATTTAAAAATCATGTTCTTCAGCCATCACATTTTATCAAGGCAAAAACTGAGTCCCAGCTTAAAAGGAGTGGATGGGTCAGAGGAGACTCCAATCTCATTCTAAGTGCCCCGAGTACATGGATGTCCACTGCAAACTGGAAGAGAACTGCTGGGAGGTTTTCTTCCTTCCACTGGGAGGAAGCGATTATAACAATGCCTTTCCACCTATGCCTGTTACTTGTATTTCTGATCCAGATAAAAGCATGACATTAAAAATGGATCTGTGGGGAATTCATGTTTTGAAACATTAACTGATTTTTCCTTGGTATTTCTTCTTACTCTTCACTCTTTTTCACATTTGTGAGGTCAACTCACCTAGCATTCATGGCATTGGAGAAGAGGTGATATGTCAAAGGAAAGCCTCCTGGATTTTAAAATTCTGAATTCTAAAATAACTCAGAGCATATCATTTAAAAATTGATAAAGTCGAGGAAGGTTTTCTGTCTTCAAGACCAGGCAAGATACAGAGAAAAAAGAGGACCTGAAAGAAACTGAGGCTCTGGTGGGAAGGGTTGGTTACATCGTAACCTTTGTCTCAGTCTTGACTTTGGAAGTCACTGCGGGTGGGATTTCTGAACTGATGGAGAGTAACATGCAGGTATCTAATAGCAAGGGTACTTATAAAAAGTAATATAAGACCGGGCACGGTGGCTCGCGCCTGTAATCCCAGCACTCTGGGAGGCCAACGCGGGCAGATCATGAGGTCAGGAGATGGAGACCATCCTGGTTAACACGGTGAAACTCTGTCTCAAATAAAAATACAAAAAAATTAGCCAGGCGTGGTGGCAGGAGCCTGTAGTCCCAGCTACTCGGGAGGCTGAGGCAGGAGAATGGCGCTAACCTGGGAGGCAGAGCTTGCAGTGAGCTGAGATCGCGCCACTGCACTCCAGCCTGGGCCACAGAGTGAGACCCCATCTCAAAAAAAAAAAAAGTAATATAAATTACTGAAATAAAAAAAGAAATGTATCTTTTCTCTATACTTGAGCTTGTAGATTGACATTTGTACCTCTACAGGACCAAAGAAATTTGAGTCTTCTTATATCCCTACCAAAGAAGAAAAAAGATTGTAAATGTTGAAGTACTTAAAGGGCTGGACATGATCAGATGCCTCTAAATTGGTTATCATAGAGACGAATAAGACAATTGACAGCCTTTTCCACTATTTCCTTTAGTTAGATTACATTAACCTTCCCATTTCACCATCGCCTGCTGATTCGCATATACTAAAAGCCTACAGTGATAAAAGCAATATGATAATAAAGCAAAAGGAAAATCTTGCCAATATCTGGATGTGGGACCCTAAGCCGATTACTGTCCTCTCTGATCCTCAGTCCTGTTACCCACAAAAGGAGAGTGTGGGCTGATATAGATCAACTTTTAGTTTCTTTTGGGTTAATTGTTCAATTTTATGGTTGCAAGTGAATCATTTGAAATGTGTTCTGAGCTTGAATTGATATTTATTTTTGCAACTCCATAGTAATTTTCTATAATTTCTCATAATTAATTTCATTTGACATGTGAAGAAACTTTGGTATATGCTAAACTTTAGATATTATGTTGCTATGGATCAATCCCTGGATTGAAATTCATTTTTTTAAACCTAAAACTTGAATACAGAAGATAAAATAGTCTCTGAAAAAAATAGAGCTCTCAGCACTTTGGGAGGCCGAGATGGGAGAATCACTTGAGCCCAGGTGTTTGAGACCAACCTTAGCAACAAGGCAAGACCCTGTCTCTATTAAAAAAAAAAATGCAAAAATTAGCTGGGTGTTAATAGTGGTGTGCAGCTGTAGTCCCAGCTACTCGGGAGGCTAAGGTGGGAGGATCACTTGAGCGCAGAAGGTCAAAGCTGTAGTCAGCCATGATCACACCACTGCACTCCAACCTGGGTGACAGAGTGAGACCCTGTCTCAAAAAAAAAAAAAAAGGAAGAATCTGAATATTCACTAGATTTGTCCTGGAAGTGTTGAACCATGTTGGACAAGAGAAGACTACAAGAAACAAGGGCTGCGAAATACAGCAAGAGTGGATGAGAGCTGGGTCCTTTTTCAGGGGTTTTTCTAAAGGTGGGAGCTCCTTCACGTTCTTGGTGATGGTAGTCTTGACCCTTTCCTGCTGCAGGTGCTGAGGTGGCAGTTAAAATGCCCTTTTCCTTCCAAACAGAACTATCCAGCAGTGAGTGTCCAGACAGGGACAAGGAGTACCTCGTCCCTGAGTTCTGTGTGTACCTATATGGGTACAAGTAAAACAAACCACCCAGCAAAGTAGATGGGTTTAAGAGGTAAAAAGACTCAAATACCTCTTTTCATATCAAAAGGAAATAAATAATCCTTTTTTTGTATCTTAATTAACACTGTACTTTTTAATGCAGCATCTGCTTAATAGATTTTTTTAGCCTTCCCAAGAGACAAGCAGGATTAAAACCATGCTCTGGCACAAGGAATGTGGGTTAGAATTTGCTCCCTGAGGAATGATCTAGACAGCTTCAGAGTTTAGTCATCAGCCTACTTCAGAGCTCAGTAAATTACAGTGCCTAGGCTGAATCTTGCCTGCTACCTATTTTTGTTAATTCAGTTTTCCTCGGAACACAGACACACTCACGCGTTTACATATAATCTATGACTGCCATGCAGCAGCAAAGCTTAGCATTTGCATCAAAGACCACACGGTCTGCAAACCTACAATATTTACTATTAGGTCCTTTACCAAAGATCTACACTGACCACTGGCACACATATTTATGAGCAGTGATGCACAGCAAATGAATGTCACATTTGTATTTCTAAATAAATTCCTACAAGGTGAGTGGATAAGTAACAATTCTGGCTGAATAGCATCACGATGTGCAAGTGTATTTCTACCAAAACCAGTGGGCCTGGAAGTCCCACACATCTTTGTCCCTAGGAGGAAGTACTGTGTGGACAGAGCCATACCCCATAGATGCCAGCCTGGCAGGGTTTTCTTAGAGTATTGGGTAGTTGGAAAAAAAAAAAAAAAAAAAAAAAAACCTGTTCATTGCTACTCTAAGGCAATACGTTTCTTTCCGTTTGCACACATAGCAAGAACTTCTCATGGGACAGCCATATCATGATGTGCTTAGAAGCATCTCAACCACCCATGCAGGTTGAAGAGTGTCCCCCTGAGGATGTGACTTTTATTTGGAAATAGAGTCATTAGGTCATTACAGATGTAATTAGTTAAAACGTGTTATATTGCAATAAGGTGAGTCCTTGATCTAATATGTCTGGTGTCCTCTTCAGAACAAGAAGACTCAGAGACAGGAATGCACAGGAGGAAAACGATGTGAATAGAGACACATGGGGACAAGGCCAAGTGATGACAGAGTCAGAGATTTGAGTGATACATCTACTAGGCAAGGAATGCCAAGCACTACCGACAGCACCAGAAGCTAAGAGAAGGGCATGAAACAGATTCTCCCTTAGATCACGCAGAGGGTGCACAGCCCTGTTGATACCTTGATTTCAGACTTCTGGCCTCCAGACCTATAAGAGAATGACCTTATGTTGTTTTAAGCCACTCTGTTTGTTGCACTTTGCTGAGATGACCCTAGGACACTAACACGAACTCCATACGACAGCTTGTATCTCTGATGGGCATCGGTGCCTGTAATAATTTTCTATTGCTACTATACCAAATTATCCAAAATGTAGCAGTTAAAAATACTGCACGCTTATTATCTCACAGTAGGTTAGAAGTCCAACATAGGTCTCACTGGGCTAAAATCAAGGAGCTGGCAGGGATGCAGTTTAACTTGTGGATTTTAGGGCAGAATCCAATTCCTTGCCTTTTCTAGCGTCTAGAGGTCACCCACATTCATTGGCCTCTGGCCCTCCTCCTCCATCTTTAAAGCCAGAAACTGTACATTAACATAAGTACTGCTTTTTTTTTTTTTTTTTTTTTAGGCTGGTCAAGTGAAGCAGCGGGAGTGGAGAAGGAACATGAGGCCACCTTATGTGACCATCTCTCACATTAGCCTTCTGCACTCACAGTTCCCTCCATGCACAGCTGAAAATGTTCTTCAGTTTAAAAACTGGGTGGCCGAGGCGGGCGGATCACGAGGTCAGGAGTTCAAGACCAGCCTAGCCAACATAGTGAAACCCTGTCTCTACTAAAAATACAAAAACTTAGCTGGACATGGTGGTGGGCGTCTGTAATCCCAGCTACTTGGGAGGCTGAGACAGGATAACTGCTTGAACCCGGGAAGTGGAGGTTGCAGTGAGCGGAGATCGTGCCATTGCACTCCAGCCTGGGCGACAGAGCAAGACTCCGTCAAGAAAAAACAAAACAAAACAAAAAACTCATGTGATTAGATTGCACTTACCTAAATAAGCAGGATCATTTCCCTATCATAAGGTTCTGAACCTTAATCACATCTGCAGAGTTCCTTTTGACAGGTAAGACAATATATTCATTTTCTGAAGAGTTAGATCCAGGCAAGTTTGAGGGACTATTATTCTGCCTACCACACCCTCTCTATAGATTGTCCTATCCCTCATGGTGTCTGACTTCCTCCAAGAACTCCAAAGGAAAGGGATTACATTTTTTATTTCTTCACTCCTGGATGCTCCTTGGTCCTCATGCAAATCTGCCCACTGTGTCTCCAAAAGAATTCCAACTATGTATTTCAGGGGAACCAAATATGAGAGCTGCAAGGAACTTTTCTTAAAAGCCTTTGACATCTCCCCTTTCTGTCTTCTTTCTTCTTTCTCCTCTAGCTAACCTGAAACAGGTGTGATGGTTACTTCCAGCCACTGTTGTGGACCAAGGGAAGGCAGAGCTCTGCCTAGTGTTAGGGAGGGAGAATGTCTGAAGCAGCCTGATCCCTGATGTCCTTTAGGCTGTCATACCGGACCTGTGCAGCATCCATCCAGACTTCTACCATATTAGAACCAAATACACTTTTATCTTATTTAAACCACTCTTTGTTTTAAATCTGTCTATTAATAGGAAGCCAAACTAATCCTACCTGATGCAAGAAAGAGAATAGAATTCTAAGAAACCCATCTTCATTGGCCAATAATTTTCACTTAGCAAGATAGGTCACAGTAATTCATCTTTCCTGGAGTATTCCAAATAAAGCATAAATTTAGGAATAAAACTACTGTGATTGAGGATTCAAATTAGTAATGGAGTGACACTTTGTGTCAATTTTTGTCAAATATATGTCCTAAGAAATTGTTTCATTAGCTAGCTATTTAAACGAGTGATAATATCTGTACTTATATCTGATTTATCGTGGTCCTATGGGCAGCTGTTACTTCTGGAGAATCTGCTTAGAAGACAAACAAAAAATAAAAACTAAAGTCTGTTCACACTTAAGAGTCTAAGGTTCCTGGCATTTGTCAGTGTTGTCCTTGGCTTTGCTGCTGGGAAGTGGGTGGGAAAGAGGCCACATGCAGGGGCCAGGAATGGCCATAGACTAGGGTGGGACAGGAGAGTAGAGCTGGGATGAGGACAAGCAGGTCACTGGGTTTTAAGGACCCAAGTCTAGGAGGTGGTAACATTACCCTATGTTTGAGACCAATTGAGGCAGAGACAGGATCACTCAGGGGTAGGGGAGATGATAGTTAAAGGAGCAAGGGGTGAGAGAAAATGATAAACTCTTGCTCCAATGTGTGACAGTTAAGTTTAGTCTACACAAGCACCTCTAAGGATTGGGTGGGGTCAAATCATTTTACAGATGAGGAATCAGAGGCTGAGAGCTGAATGCATTTGTCAGTCATACATGTAGTGAGTCGTGAGGCCAAAGTATGAATTGAGGTCATTTTAACAGCAGAGATTGTGTTCTCTTCACCATACTGATAACAAGGGACCAGGTTTGACTGAGGATATCATCTGCCTCCTGCTAGTGTTGGAGTTGGTTCTCGGGGCAGCTGTCCTCAAACTGCTCCACGCCATAGACCTGTCCAGGCGGTGAACTGTGGTCACGTGACCACCACTCATGCTCCAACTCATTACCATGCTCAGGTTCAAGAGTGTCCCTGAAAGGCCATTTTCCTGAACATGTCTGTCATTTTAAAAGTTGGAAAGTTTTATACACACACACACACACACACACACACACACACACACACACACATGCACACAAGCACTTTATCTACTCATCTGTGGATTCAGGATCCAGGTTGTTCCCACATCTTGCCTACTGGGAATAATGTTGCAATAACACGGGGATGCTAGCATCTCTTTGAGGTTCCAATTCAGTTCTGTGGGAAGAATCCATCCCAGGCTCTGATACACAGCGTCGTGCCTATAGATAATGATGCTATATTTTACACCTAAAATCTATTAAGAAGGTAGATCTCATTTTAAGTGTTCTTGCCACAATAAAAGAGGAAATAGTGTTTTTTAAAAATCTATATCTAAATAGTCACATTTAATCTATTTTTGGTTGTCAAAAAGCAGCCCCTTTCTGTCTTACATTCAACCCACGTGTCTGAGAAGGCCAAGGCACCTGTACTTCAGGTCATTCAGGTTGTTCAACTTGGTCAAGTATTTTCTTTACTTTATTTGAAAATACAGGATGCCATCCTGTCACTTAGGCTGGAGTGCAGCAGCAGGATAAGCTCACTGCAGCCTCAGACAGCTGGGGGCTCAGGCAATTCTGCCTCAGCCCCTAAATAGCTAGAATTTCAGGTGCAGCTGCAACACCCAGCTAATTTTCTTTATTTTCTTATTTTTTGTAGAGACAGCATCTCCCTATGTTGCCCAGGCTGGTCTCGAACTCCTGGCCTCAAGCAATCCTCTTGCCTCAGCCTCCCAAAACCTTGGTATTATAGGCGAGTGCCACTGCACTTGCCCCAACAAGTGTTTTCTGTGGAATGTGAGGATAAGACAAAAACTTCCAGACACAACTCGCATATATTAAACACGACCAATTACCAGGCCTTCCGCTAAGAATTTTCATATGTCTCCTTATTTAATCTTCTCACCCTACCGGGTAGTTATTACTATAATTTTATTGATGGGAAAATAGGTGTTAAAGATGTTTAATGACTGACCAGGGCCACATGGTGAAGACTGGTTGGGACAAGGGTTTTTGTGACATACACATCTATGTTTTCAATGCTCTAATATGAAGACAGAGGCATCTGTTCAATGAGGGGAGAAATCTCAGGCATTATGCAAAAATGAAAGTGACATTTTCAGAGAGATAAATCTATAAAATCTTGTTTGGTGATACTTTAAAAGAGTTTTGGGAAAACTGAAAATTACAAGCCTTGCTCCATTTCCTTAAATTCGGTGTTGGCTAGAAAGTAGCGCTGAAGCCAACAGCAAGAAGTTTCAGTTAATCGTTTTATTAAGGGACCTGTGGACTCAAGTGCTTGGCATGGAGAATACTTCCCATCATGGTACAGAGATAAGGAGTATGCTAGTGAATATTTATATTTATATACCAGCTATCGTGACACTTAAGTTGAATCTTGACCTGATGTATGTATCATACATATACATCATAAAATTGAGGTTAATGTATATCATTTATGGAGAAGGGCAAAGAGGTTTCCTGGATATGAAAAGGTTTGTTGTAATAGCTGCAGGATCACTGCCTTATAATATTGAGACTATGAATGCTCACCGTGTTTGTGAGGATGCCTTCTATTAAAAAATACATTTGATCCCTTACGAAATAATGCATGCTCCGTGAGAAACTGGCTTAACCTTCAACATTGTGATCATTAACTGGCAGCCTGTGACCTCCCTGAGTTTGTTCTGTAACTCCAATATTGCAGAAGTTATCTGACTTCACTTACAAGGCAGGAAGCAACACAACTCAACTGTTGTGACTTTCCCCCTGTAGCTCACAGATAAGTCCCTTGCAAACCCAGCCCACTCATTTCCAAAAAGCAATACAAGTGTGTGTTTTCTCCACGATTCTCTTTACACAGAGAAGACAATACCATCCTGCATCTTGCAGTTCCCATCGTCACTTTCTACTCACCAGGGGCTGCTAGTTACAGGGATGTAATAATACTTCGGAGAAAACTTCAAATGTGAACCATGCAAAAGAGTGCTCAAGAGCGCAACCTCTTTGCTGAGCTTTTTGCATAAAATGTTGTACTGGGAATATAAAGTCAGAGACAGCCTATAGAAAGAATTTATTGCAAGTGATTTTTTAACTAGAGGGAAATTGAATGTTACGTTACGGTTCCCTCACTCCATTTAAGTGTATGCGGTGTACATTGTAAGATGCCACAGATAAACCACCAGCCTCCACAAGGACTTTTATTCATTGTAAACAATGTTTGTTTCATAACTCACAGTGCCCTCTACCCAGGGGCTTCCCAGTACTTCCTCCAGCCATGTTCACGAGGAGAAGCTGGTGAAGATGGCTGTTTCGGTGCATTGCATCAGGCCAAATGACTGAAGTTTCAACAAAAGACCTCAAAAAAGAGTTCTTCAGGAGCCATTTTCTTTTACCCAAGCCATTGCTGGGATGCCGAGGGTTTCATTATTTTTCTCAGTATAAATCAGAAGGTTTAAAGAGCTCTTAAAAAGAACTATGTGCACTTTCTGTGCTGAAGTTGCTTCTGCATTTATACCACCCTGATCTCCAGTTCTCACTCCTGGGAAAACCATGATGTTTTCCAGAAACAGTCATTGATACTATGTACAAGGAGTTTAAAAAACTATGCTGGCCGGGCGCGGTGGCTCACGCCTGTAATCCCAGCACTTACGGAGGCCGAGGCGGGTCGATCACGAGTTCAAGAGATCGAGACCATCCTGGCCAACATGGTGAAACCCCGTCTCTACCAAAAATACAAAAAATTAGCCGGGCGTAGTAGCGGGTGCCTGTAGTCCCAGCTACTAGGGAGGCTGAGGCAGGAGAATGGCGTGAACCCGGGAGGCGGAGCTTGCAGTGAGCTGAGATCGCGCCACTGCACTCCAGCCTGGGCGACAAAGCGAGACTCCGTCTCAAAACAAACAAACAAACAAAAAACAAAAAAGCCCAAAAACTATGCTATGAGCAAGTGGCACATTATTCTGTTGTCAAAGATTCAAGTCACTGGGTGAACCCTGGTGCAAAACGCATTTTAATGAAACGCCTTTTGAAAATCATAACTGGAAAAATCATGAACAGCACCTCTCTTCAATAACTGTCTATGACTGCACTAAATCATAACTATATTTGAAAAACTAAAATTTCAAAAAGCTTTGTATGAATAAGAGAAATAAAAGTTACTGGGATGTAGATGGGCAAAGACAGCTGAATTAAAAATGCTCATATTTCATTAATCAATACATTTTTTACATAAGAAGTTTATCTTACTGGTTTGGACAAACATAGCTCAAGTATTTTACATAATCATGGGGACGATTGGGCTATGACAGTTTAATGCTATTTTGCAAAGCCATAATTTTGCTGGGGCTCAGATGAGTGAAATTTGCATGGTTGTTTTCTTAACTTCTTAATCATAGACCATCTCTGAGACCAGTATCCACATACCAGAGTTTCACATGCAGCTGTAGAGTGTTACTGGCTTCCACCTAAGAATCTTCCTTCCTCTAATTTCCAGTAAATGCTCCAAGAACAAGAACAAAGAGCCCCAGCAATGGACGATAGACACAGAGTCTGTCTGGAAATGTGTTTCCTTCACCTTTATGCTCATCTCACCTAAGCAGAATCATGTAAGAGAATCACATGGTATGAAGATTCTCTTACGTGATTTCTGAGGACTAGAAGACCACAATTGCATGTTTTGTGAACTAGGCTTTTTAATTATTCTTGATTTCCATAACGAATGTGATTTCAGAGACAGAAATCAGAAGAGAAATGAAGTAACCTACACGAGGTTGACAGATGCTCCAAGGAAACCAGAGAATAAGCTCTGCTTCAACTAAAAGTCACTGATCCAGGAGTCACCTGCATTTATCAGACTCTAAAACCTATTGTTGTCCCATTATACCCCACTGCCTCTATTTTTACCAGTAGGAAGTAGAATCCTTTCCTTAAAGATGTGAAAAGTATGTAGGGAAAAAAAAAGGTGTGAGTTTTAAGAGTTGCTTTACTGAGAGTTAAGACAAAGAAAATAGTTTGTAAGTGAATACATAATAGTATGAGGTATTGTGTTTGGTTGAAAATAACATCAATCTCTACATCAGCGACATAAGTATGTGGAGGAGTTATGTCTTCTCATCAGATGAAGCAGTTTCTGGCTGTTGATGTGGCTCAATGTCGCCATCAAGAGGCCAGTATTCAGCTCTCTTTAGCCTCAATCAATATCAGCATGTGATGTTTTGCCCTCATGGCCACAAAATGGCACCTCTCTCCAGGCATCACAGCTACATCCGAAGAAAGAAAAAGGGTGGTATATTTAAAAACAAAAAAAAACCACTTTACTCAAAAAGGTTTTTGGGTTTTGTTGTTGTTGTTGTTTTGCAGGGGACAGAGAGCACAGATATCTGTTCTAAGTATTTCCACTTTGCTGTCATTGGGGGTCATTGGCTCAAAGTGAATCATATGGTGACTCACAGTTACAAGAAAACCTGTGAAGCATTTTGTTTTTGTTTATGTTGTTTATGTTTTTGGCTTTTCAACCTCTGTAATAGAAGACAAGAGGAAAGAAAAAATAAATTCTGGTGTGCTCAATCCAAATTGTCTTCCATAGGCCTTGAATTGTGAAATTAGAGATGCTTCTAGGATCTTGAGATAGAGAATTAAAATTCTTAATTTTTGTACAGATTGAATTTTATTTCAGGTAAGTTTAGACACTATCTCAAATATTGATTTTAATAAATGAGGGTGTTTTTAAAAATGTTCCTTTATCTTCTCTACTTCCTACGCTCATTTTATACTTAATTATTTCGCAAATACATTGCATGATCCAGGAAGGAAAGAGTGCTGTATTATACAACATTTTATCCACTAAAAAAGTTTTATCATTAGCACAGTGGCTGTCCTGGAGCAGATATTTAATAAATGTTTGAGTGTCTGATTGAAAAAAATAAAAATAAAAACACATGGGGTTAATACTGAATGCATATATTCATTAAAATCAGCACGTCATAATTAGAAGACAAGGTTGAATAAATGATGGCAAATATGAGTTAGCTACCAAAAGGTAATAAAGTACGATAAGAAAGAAACATGCATAAGAAGAACTGCTAGTCTCAGTGAGTATTTGCCATTTCAGCACCATTTAAAAATAAATGAAGACGTTCTGCTTCTGGCCAAGATGAACTAAGAGGGATCTACCATTTAAAAATTATGAAACAACAGCTGGAAAGACACTGGGCATCAGGTAATAAACAATGATCCCTGAGATATGGAAACAAACATATGAGCCCTGCAGTTGCCCCAGCTTGCTTCCCTTAGAGTGTCCCCAGTTTGCAGCATGTGAGGGGAAACTGAAGTAGAATCTGGAAGAGTCTCTGAGCTGAAGAGACAGAGCTGGTGGCTGAGGAAGCATGAGGAATCTGGAGCTGATGGGAAAGGGTACAAAGCAAGGAGAGGACCCTGAAGATCTGGAAAGGGCCTCCTGGAATGTTGAGTGGATTGCTGGTCTGCACGTGTGTGGAGAACCTTCCTGTACCTGGAGAAAGAACCATTCAAAAGGATGATGGGGAGCAGTGCCTGGTGTTCACTCAAAGGTGAAAATAGTACCTGTTCCCAACACTCAGACCAGAAAACTTCATAATCCATGGGGCATTGAGTAGAGTGCTCCAGAAGGTCTTCCCTCCATAGTAGGAAAGAATTAGCTCTAGACTGAGTGTATTAGTCCATTTCCATGCTGCTGATAAAGATATACCCAAGACTGGGCAATTTACTGGGCATTTACAGTTCCACTTGGCTGGGGAAGCCTCACAAACATGGCGAAAGGCAGGAGGAGCAAGTCACATCTTACATGGATGGCAGCAGGCAAAGAGAGAGATTGGGCAGGGATACTACCCCTTACAATACTGTCAGATCTCATGAGACTTATTCACTGTCATCAGAACAGCATGGGAAAGACCTGCCTCCATGGTTCAGTTACCTCCCACCAGGTCCCTCCCACAACACATGAGAATTCAAGATGAGATTTGGGTGGGGACACAGCCAAATCATATCATTCTGCCCCAGCCCCTCCCAAATCTCATGCCCTCACATTTCAAACAATCATGGCTTCCCAACAGTGCCCCAGGTCTTAACTCATTTCAGCATTAACTCAAAAGTCCACAGTCCAAAGTTTCATCTGAGATAAGGTAAGTCCCTTCTGCCTATGAGCCTGTAAAATCAAAAGCAAATTAGTTACTTTTTAGACACAATGGGGGTACAGGCATTGGATAAACATAGCCATTCCAAATGGCCAAAACAAAGGGGCTACAGCCCCATGCAGGTCTAAAATCCAGTGGGGCAGTCAAATCTTAAGGCTCAAAAATGACCTTTGACTCCCTATCTCACATCCAGGTCACGCTGACGCAAGAGGTAGGTTCCCATAGTCAGGAAGTTCTGCCCCTGTGGCTTGGCAGGGTATAGCTTCCCTCCTGGCTGCTTTCATGGGCTGGCGTTGAGTGTCTGCAGCTTTTCCAGGCAAACAGTGCAGGTTGTTGGTGGATCTACCATTCTGGGGCCTGGAGGATGGTGGTCCTCTTCTCACAACTCCACTAGGCAATGTCCCAGTAGAGAATCTGTGTGGGGACTCTGACCCCACATTTCCCTTCTGCACTGTCCTAGCAGAGGTTCTCCATGAGTGCCCCGCCCCTACAGCAAACTTCTTCCTGTACATTCAGGCATTTCCATACATCCTCTGAAATCTAGGCAGAGGTTCCCAAACCCCATTTCTTGACTTCTGTGCACTCACAGGCTCAACTCCATGTGGAAGCTGCCAATGCTTGGGGCTTGCACCCTCTGAAGCCACAGCTCAAGCTCTACATTAGCCCCTGTCAGCCACAGCTGGAGCGGCTGGAATGCAGGACACCAAGTCCCTATGCTTCACACTGCATGAGGACCTGGGCCCACAAAACCATTTTCTCCTAGGCCTCTGGGCCTGTGATGGGAGGGGCTGCTGTGAAGACCTCTGACATGCCCTGGAGACATTTTCGCCATTGTCTTGGGGATTATTATTTGGCTCCTCGTTATTAATGCAAATTTCTGCAGCCGCCTTTAATTTCTCCTCCGAAAATGGGGGGGTTTTCTTTTCTATCACATTGTCAGTCTGCAAATATTCCAAATTTTATGCTCTGCTTCCCTTATAAAACTGAATGCCTTTAACAGCACCCAATTCACCTCTTGAATGCTTTGTTGCTTAGATATTTCTTCCGCCAGAAACCCTAAATCATCTCTCTCAAGTTCAAAGTTCCATAAATCTCTAGGGTGAGGGCAAAATGCCACCAGTCTCTTAGCTAAAACATAACCAGAGTCACCTTTGCTCCACTTCCCAGCAAGTTTCTTGTCTTCATCTGAGACCACCTCAGCCTGGACTTTATTGTCCATATCTCTATCAGGCTTTAGGTAAAAGCCATTCTCTAGGGAGTTTCATACTTTCCTATATTTTTCTGTCTTCTTCTGAGCCCTCCAAATTGTTCCAACCTCTGCCTCTTAGGCCCAGTTCTAAAGTCGCTTCCACATTTTCAGGTATCTTTTCAGCAGTGCCCCACTCCCGGTACCAATTTACTGTATTAATCCGTTTTCACACTGCTGATAAAGACATACCTGAGGCTGGGCAATTTACAAATGAAAGAGGTTTAATTGGACTTACAGTTCCATGTGGCTGTGGAAGCCTCACAATCATGGCAGAAGGCAAGGAGGAGCAAGTCATGTCTTACATGGAGGCAGCAGGCAAAGAGAGAGATTGGGCAGGGAAACTCCCCCTTATAATACTGTCAGATCTCATGAGACTTATTCACTATCACGAGAACAGCATGGGAAAGACCCACCTCCATGATTCAATTACCTCCTACCTCATCCCTCCCCACAACCCGTGGGAATTCAAGATGAGATTTGAGTGGGAACACAGCCAAACCATATCACTGAGTATTGCTCTGGTCCCACCTGAAAAACCATAAAGGCAAGAACCAAAGGAATCAAATTTTTTCCAAAAAACTTAATTGAATCCCAGAACAATATTCAAAATGTGCCAGAATATAAAAATAGCACACAAGCAAGGCAAAATGTTTAACAGCTGGCATTCAAACAAAGACTATTAGGCATGAAAACATGACAGAAACTCACCATTCATCATGAGGAAAATAATCAGTCAACACAGGCTTCAACTGACACAGAGTTAGGATTAGCAAAGAAGAGCATTAAAACAGATATTATAAACCTATATGTTCAAAAGTTAAACAGAGACATGAAAGATATTTAAAAAGACAAATTGGACTTTCCAAGATGGAAATTCCAAGTGCCTGAGATACTGAGATAAAATACACACACACACACACACACATGCACGCACATACATACACACACAGACATATACACACACACACACACACACACACATGCTGGAAGGGGTTAATGGTGATTAGACATTGCAAAAGAAAATATAACTGAATTTTCATGCATAACAACATAAAATACCCAAAATGGAACATTGAGAGAAAAAGAATCCCTCCCCCTACCCACCCAAAATGGAAAGAAGGTTAGTGAGGTGTGGAACAACTTAAAGCAGCTTAGTATGAGGAGAGGAAAAGTAAATATTTGAAGAAATAATGGCCAAATGCTCTTCCAACTTAATGAAAACAAGAAACCCACCAATCCAGGAAGCACAACCAACTCCTACATTCTACATGATCATATTTCATCTTTATACAGCACAGTGGGAGGCACTGTAGACAATCAATCAACTGATGAGTTAAATTACACTGTTGCACATGAAAATATACAGCAATGTTGGTTTATAGAGGTTCATTTTAGATAAACTACCTTTTATTATTTTTTAAATTCGCTCTTATTTATAAAAGTTGTCCATGATTTAACACCAAATATCACAATAAACAGCTGCTCGGGTGAGAAAATGTTTATGTTGATAAGAAAATTCACCACGGAATAACTGGTTGCAAAATCCCTGAAGAGCTTATGGCTTTCTTTGGTGGTGGAAATGCATACATGATGTGGATTCCAGCAGAAGACAACAACCAACTCTGACTTCATTAACGTAGCTAAGGTATATGATCTTAGTCATATCACCAATCTTATTTTAATGTATGATTCAAGATGGCTACTTGAATATTTAATTTCAGGCAAAATGTAAAGGGAATAGATTTAGGTCTTAAAAGTACGGGTTTTGTAGGCAGACTAGCTTAGTTATAACTCCAGCTCTGACATTAGCTGTTTAGTCTTGGGTGATTTATTTGAACTCTCTGTACCTCAGCTTCCTGCTGTAAAATGGGATTTAAAATGTTAACTATTATAAGGAAGAGATAAATATTGTAAAACACATTAATAACATGTATTGAAAGTTGAGTTATTAAAAAAGAGCCCATTTCATCTGTGTCTGCCATTATATGCTTATTTCAATATTAAATCCATTCCACTGTATTATCACATCATAGGTTTTTTTTTTTCTCCTTTACACCTGACATTTCAAAGGCAGGAAGTTGTCTGTACTTCTCCTTTCTCATTGAGACAGTTGCTAGTAGAAGTTCTTGATTGGGGTAGAAGCACATATACTTTAGCCCATTTAAAAATAAGACATTTATTTTAAATGGAGCAACATACCTAAATTTCTCTTTGACAACATCCTCACCCTGACTCAAATGCCACTCTGTCAGTAAGGATGTTAACCACCTGATAAGACTATACGCTTGTGATGTTTTATCTATTTCTATCCTTAGCCACTCAAAAAAAATATCTTTTTTATTGAGGTATAATGTATATGCAATAAAATCTATCCTTTTTAGCGTGCATTTCTGAGTTTTGACAGATGCACATAGTTATGTAATTACCGCTACACTCAAAACACAGAATCATCACATTACCCTAAGAAATACTGCACACTTCTTTGTCTGCTGCATCTGGGGGAGTCATTCACTCTCCAGAGCCCCAGGCCTTACGCAGGGGTCAAATCTTCTCTCCTATAATTATGCCCCCTCCAGAAGGCCATAGAAATGAAAACACATGGTGCAGAGCCTGCTTTTACTTATTATAATGAATTTCAGATATATGTATGTTTTTATATGTTATTCGTCATTCATTCCTTTGATGTATAGTAAACACAGGAAAATGTGTTCAACATAACTAGCCATTATTGAAATGCTGATTAAAACTACAATGAAATACCACATTAAGACAACTCACATTACCAAGAATAGAAGAAACAGAGCAGCTAGAACACTTATACAACGCCTGTGGGAACAGCAATTGAAAGAGCCACTTTAGAAAAATGTCCCAAAATTTCTTACAATGTTAAACATGCACTTACCACGTGAACAAGCAATTCCACTTTTTAGTATTTATTCAAATGCAATAAAAACTTATGTTCACGCAAAAACCTGTACATGAATGGTTGTGTGGATATTTCTTTATAACCACCCCAAACTGGAAACAAACCAAATGCTCTTCAACTGGTAAATGTTTAAAAAAAAGTTCATGCATTTATTTATTCATTCAATTTATTTATTTATTTATTCATTTTATTTATTTATTCAGTTTATTTATTTATTTATTCAATTACCTCCCACTGCAGGTAATTGCCCCCCATGGGGGCAGGCCTTTCCCATGCTGTTCTCATGATAGTGAATAAGTCTCACGAGATCTCATGAGATCACGAGTAGATGGCAACTACTCAGGAATAAAAATGATGTACTAGATATTTCATATGTGTTTTTGTTTATTGTCTGCCTCTGCCACACACACTAGAATGCAACTTACAAGGCGGTAGGTATTGATTTGTGCATTCACTATCATAGGCTATTTTATCTAGAATAGTGCCTGGCATCATGTGTTTGGCACTAAATGATAATGTGTTTAAAAACAAATGAATTCACTATAGACCCTACAAAAGGCTAAGGAAACAGGGGCAGAGATCCACAGCTGGAAAATGCCCAAATTACATCCAAGCTGTTGCAAGGCAGACACTCCTATTGCCATCATTAGCACTGGTATGGTAGTTCCTACTGCCACCGTAGAGCACAGGACGCTCATCCAAGTACATCTGCTGCTGCTGCAGCCCCTGAAAGTCAAGGATCTCTCACCCCCACCCCTGCCAAATGGATTCTAATTAGCACATCCCACTTCATATCACCATCTTCCCTATCAATGACTTCCATGGGTTGTCTTAAGAGTAAAATCTGGAATATTTTTCTGACAATACCTTGAAGAACAAAAGTGTCCATGAAGTAGGAAATTTTCCAAACTTAACAACCTCATTAACATATATTGGATGTTAAACACAGAATTATCATATGACCCATCAATTTTACTCCTAGGTACACACCCCAAAAATAAAAACAGATGTTCAAGAAGAAGTGAACTTGCATGTGCATAGCAGCATGATTCACAATTTTTTAAAAAAGGAAAAAGCACAAATATCCGTCAATGGGTGAGTGGGTACAGAAAAGTGGCATATCCATAAAAAGGAATATTATTTAGCCACAAAAAGGAATGAAGCATGCTACATTTCACAATGGGGACGAACCTTGAAAACACTGCTCAGTAAAAGAAGCCATCACAAAAGGCCATCTATTGTATGATATTGTTTATATGAAAAGCTGACATTAGGCAAATACATAGAAAGTAAATTAGTGATTGTCAGGACATGAGAGGAAATAGTGACTTCTAAAAGGGCAGGACGTTTCCCTTGGGGATAATAAAAATACTCTACAACTAGATAGAGGTGATGATTGCATAACACTGTAAATGTCCTTCATGCCACTAAATTGTATGCTTTAAATGATTAATTTTATGTTATGTAAATTTCACTCAATAAAAAAATGCAAAAACAAATTGTGTGGCCACAAAGTCTAACAAATATCTCCTACATAGGATAAACTCTGCTGAATAAACTGGCCCATCAGCCTGATGATTTTATATTTATGTTTTAAAATAGCCCTTTGTGTAAATATCAGTCCCTTTAGGGGTGAGACCATTTCTCAAAAGACTCCTGGTGGTAAAAAAAAAAAAAAAAAAAAAAAAAAAAAAAAAAAGTCCTAGTCCTTTTAGAAAATGCATCTTTCCTGATGGTTTAGTAATTTCTATCCCTCCAACACCACGGCCAGGCTCCGGTCCTCCATCGTGCCGTAGGATCATTGGCTTTCCCTGCAGGGAAATATCCTGTGGCTCTTATTCCACTTGTAACTTGATAGTGTTCTTCTCCTCTGACTCTGTTACCACTCTATTTTAGCAGGTATTAAAGTACACACTGTAGATTTTTTTTTGTTGTAAATTCAACCAAGCTTTCATTTTCTTTGCAAGCAAATTCTGCAGCAACTGGGCAAAGCCAACACTAGCACAAGTAACTTAAAATCCGTTTAAGAGGGGCCACTCCAATGCCTGATGAAGTGAGCAAGGTGAATGATATGGTTAGGCTTTGTGTCCCCACCCAAATCTCAGCTTGAATTGTAGATCCCATAATCCCCACGTGTCATGGGAGGGACCCAGTGGGAGGTAACTGAATCATGGGAGTGGGTTTTCCCATGCCATTCTCCTGATAATGACTAAGTCTCTTGAGATCTGATGGTTTTATAAATGGGAGTTCCCCTGTACAAGCTCTCTCTTGCCCGCAACCATGTAAGATGTGACTGCTCCTCCTTGGCCTTCTGCCATGATTGTGAGGCCTCCCCAGCTATGTGGGACTGTGAGTCCATTAAACCTCTTTCCTTTATAATTACCCAGTCTTGGGCAGGTCTTTACTAGCAACATGAGAACAGACTAATACAGTGAAGAATCAGGAAAACTATTTAGGCCTGTGGAGAACTGGGAGCCCCTGCAGGGGAGGAAGGTTGAGACTCTGCTCCCACTGATCTTGCCCCATAAGAACGTGGGCCAAGGGGCAGGGGTGAGGACTGAAATAGAGATGTTCATGTGGAAGTCGTAAGAGTTTGCACAAATATATACTGACACGTATCCACCATTAGAGCACCACACAGTATTTCTTTGGGGTAACCAATTAAATGTAAGTTTAAACACTGAGCACCATAAGAAAAAACTCACTGTAGAAAAAATTCAATCTGAAAACTATCCATTAGCTGACTCTGGAATACACAGTAATATTTTATCAGAGAATCCTAATTCCTTTTCTTTTCTCTTTTTTCTTTCTTTTCTTTTCTTTTCCCTTCTCTCTTCATCTTTCATTTGCTATTCTTTTTTAGTAGATTTTGTGTTATGTTTAGAGTAGTTTTAAGTTTACTGCAAAATTGAGAGGAAGGTACTGAGATTTCCCATATACGCTCCACCCTGACACATACATCAGCCTCCCCCATATCAACATCAGCCACCAGAGTGGTCCATGTGTTACAATGGATGATCGCACATTAACACATCATTATCACCCAAAGTTGCAGTACATGTTAGAGTTCACTCTTGGTGTAAGTTCTCTGGGTTTGCACAAATGCATACTGACATGCATCCACAACTGTAGTATCACACAGAGTAGTTTCACTGTCCCACGTAGTTTGTTTTTGAGCTTACTGTGTCATTAGAATGAGCAAAGCTCTTTTCATCCCCCTTCTTAGTGTCGTTATGTTTCTGTCACTTTCTAGTTACTTTTAGAGTTATGGAGTTAAGTGTTTATTTAAATCTGTTCCACTCTTTCACAGATAAATCTGTAAAATCCTATTTTGCCACCTTAGTTGCAAACAGGTCACGTTTAGTTTAAATGGATTAGTTTAAGATGCTGTTCATAAAATAACTTATTTTTCATATTTTGTTTTAATAGTACAAGAACTGATGTAATTTTAAAGGTTTGTAATGAAGTGGAGACCACTTATAGAGTAAAACTTGAGGAGATATTCTTCCCATAGAAAGTCTTTACTGAAATGCTATTGAATCAAACAGGTCTAAATATGCATCTATTTCACTACTGAGTGTTCTGCATCATTTTCATTGCAGAAGTTGGAATTTTATTACATAATATCTAATATTACAAATAGGTTTGCAAGCCATAGTTTTGAAATGTTTTTTATTTCTTAAAAAGTCCTGTTTTTCAGATTTTGGGATGAAATCCCCTAGTTCTTCAGAGTTGAAACTATTATTGAGAACAAGCAGAGAACATTTCAAAGAGCAAATATATTCAAGCTGTGAAATATTATGAAAATAGGGGGTCTGGTTAACTGCATTTAACATTAACTTTTCAGCTTCTCATTTACTGTTATAAACCTCAATTTCTTCTAGTTGAATGAAAAACAGGTAGAATTCTTTTTTTAATTTCCTCTTTATTCCCATAGATTTTCAGGGAATGGGTGGTATTCGGTGAAATGAGTAAGTTCTTCAGTGGTGATTTGTGAGATTTTGGTGCACCCATCACCCAAGCAGTACACACTGTACCCAATTTGCAGTCTTTTATACTTCATCCCCCTTCCACCCTTTCCCTCAAGTCCCCAAAGTCCATTGTGTCATTCTTATGCCTTTGCATCCTTATAGATTAGCTCCCACTTACGAGTGAGAAATACGATGTTTGGTTTTGCATTCCTGAGTTACTTCACATAGAATAATGGTCTCCAATTTCACCTAGGTTGCTGTGAATGCCGTTATTTTGTTCCTTTTTACAGCTGAATAGTATTCTGTGGTGTATATATATCACAATTTCTTTATCCACTCACTGATTGATGGGCATTTGGGATGGTTCCACAGTTTTGCAATTGCTAACTGTGCTGCTATAAACATGCATGTGCAAGTATCTTTTTTGTATAATGACTTCCTTCCCTGTGGGTAGATGCCCAGTAGTGGGACTGCTGGATCAAAAGGTAGTTCTACTTTTAGTTCTTTAAGAAATCTCCACTCTGTTTTCTGCAGTGGTTGTACTGGTTTACGTTCCCACCAGCAGTGTAGAAGTGTTCCCTTTTTACCATATCCCCACCGACATCTGTCATTTTATTATTTTTTTGATTATGGCCATTCTTGCATGAGTAAGGTGGTATAGCATCATGGTTTTGATTTGTATTTCCCTAATCATTAGTGATGTTGGCATTTTTCATACGTTCACTGGCCATTTGTATATATTCTTTTGAGAATTGTCTATTCATGTCCTTAGCCCATTTTTTGATGAGATTGTTTCTTTTCTTGCTAATTTGTTTGATTTCCTTGTAGATTCTGGATATTAGTCCTTTGTCAGATGTATAGATTGTGAAGATTTTCTCCCACTCTGTGGGTTGTCTGTTTACTCTGCTGATTTTTTTTTCTGTGCAGAAAGTTTTTAGCTTAATTAAGTCCCACCTATTTATCATTGTTTTTGTTGCATTTGCTTTTGGGTTCTTGGTCATGAAGTCTTTGCCTAAGCCAACGTCTAGCAGGGTTTTTCCAAGGAGGTGAAAGACCTCTACAAGGAAAACTACAAAACACTGCTGAAACAAATCACAGACAATACAAACAAATGGAAACACATCCCATGCTCATGGATGGGTAGACTCAATATTGTGAAAATGACCATACTGTCTAAAGCAATCTACAAATTCAATGCAAATCCCATCAAAATACCACCCTCATTCTTCACAGAACTAGAAAATGAATCCCAAAATTCCTATGGAACCAAAAAAGAGCCCAAGTAGCCAAAGCAAGACCAAGCAAAAAGAACAAATCTGGAGGCATCACATTACCTGACTTCAAAGAACCAATCTGGCGGCATCACATTACCTGACTTCAAACTATACTATGAAGCCATAGTTACCAAAACAGCATGGTACTGATATAAAAATAGGCACATAGACTAATGGAACAGAATAGAGAACCTAGAAATAAAGCTAAATACTTACATCCAATTGACCGTCAACAAAGCAAACAAAAACATAAAGCAGGGAAATGACACCCTATTCCACAAATGGTGCTGGGATAATTGACTAGCCACATGTAGGAGAATGAAACTGGATCCTCATCTCTCATCTTATACAAAAATTAACTAAAGATGGATCAAGGACTTAAATCTAAGACCTGAAACTATAAAAATTCTAGAAGATAACATCAGAATTCTTAAATGGGTATTATAATTCCCAACTCTTTTTTCCCCCTCTTCTGAAGTGACTGATGAAGTTCTATTGAATGTTTAATACTACAGAAAGCTGTTGGGTGGACAGGCTGTGGGGATACTGACTCAGTTACCTGGAATCATCCTAGACCTATTATTTACTTCACTCTCACATTCCATCCAGAGACAAAGCATATCCACTTTACCTAACAACAACCTCACAATCTGAAAACTTTGGTGGACTTGATGCTAAGGTCCCCATCAAAGTTAATGGTTCTCCCTGCTGCACACTCTTCTTGGCTACTCATGTTCCTCTCTGTGAAACACTTTTGCTTTCCCCTTCTCAGGTCATTGCCCATGGCTCAACATTAGCATATTCTTCTCGTCCTCACCTCTCTAGTCCTATCCCTCTTGGAGCTCCCTGAAGCCCCTCCACCTCTAATTCCACCCGGCTTGGCTCTCTTCTCTCTCTCTCTCTTTGCAAACTGTCCCATTGACATGGGTGGCTGCAGTCTCACCCTCCTCCCTTCTCACTATGCTTCCTGTACCTCCTCTCCAAGTCTCTCCTCCTCTTTCCCTGTCCCCATCTCCCTCTCGATGGCTACATTAATTCCCACGGCCACCATCCCTGCCATCCTGGCTCCCATCAGTGGAGGCTGTTCTCTCTTTCTCAGACTCTTTCCTTCAGAGCATCAGCTAATCACCAGGACACTAAGAAGAAGCAAGGTAAACGAAGGGGAGACATAGAAAGGAGGACAAGGGTCAGTCCGGGGGCAGAAGAGCAACATCCACTCTGGAGCTGGCCAGGTGAGATAGATCCCCTCACCGCCCGCATTCCTGCTAAGAACTCCTGAGGGAGGAAGTGAAGATTCAGACTTCTGTAATCACCATCTCTTTTCACTTTTTTCACTCTCCTTTCTACTCCTGATGGCCAGACTCCATGCCTGTCTTGTTTATCATTGTATCCCCAATACTCAGCACAAAGCCTGTGGCACAGCAGGCCATCTGCAAATACCTGCTTAGTAGATGAGTGAATGGGGATGCCATGCTCTTGCTTCCAGACAGGGAAACAGGGGTCTTGACATTGTGAGTGTGAAGGGAGCAGCTGAGCCAGGAATGGCACTCTCAGGGTTCGCATCAATGTGGTGCAATGGCCACACACTCTACATCTTGTCCTGGCCAAGCTAGACAGACTCACAGATGCAGTAAGATTTCACGTATGTGTGTGATGTTAACTTTTTATTTTTCAGTGCACAGGGCACTGTATACATGCGAAGCAGTTATTAAAAATTAGCTGAATTGTATGCAATTGATGTAATTCCAGCATTTTCAATCTTATGAGACTTTTGGAAATCACTTAATTCAAGTCCTAGTTTTGCAGATGGGGAAAATTAATCTAACAGAAGTTAAGTTTTTGTTCAAGGTCATATAACTAATGTATAATTTTAAAATAATCCAAGCACCTTACTTGCTTAGGAAATAGACGTTTCATTTACATTCTTTTAAGACTGATTTTGTGGCTGGGTGCGGTGGCTCACGCCTGTAATCCCAGCACTTTGGGAGGCCAAGGTGGGTGGATCACGAGGTCAGGAGATTGAGACCATCCTGGCTAACACAGTGAAACCCGTCTCTACTAAACATACAAAAAAAAAAAAATTTAGCCGGGCGTGGTGGCGGGCGCCTATAGTCCCAGTTGCTCAGGAGGCTGAGGCAGAAGAATGGCATGAACCCGGGAGGCAGAGTTTGCAGTGAGCCAAGATCGCACCACTGCACTCCAGCCTGGGTGACAGAGCGAGAGTCCGTCTCAAAAAAAAAAAAATGTTTTTGCTACATTGCATTTCTACATATTTATGGGGTCCATGTGAGGTTTTGTTACATGCATAGAATGTGTAATAGTCAAGTCATGGTGTTCAGGGTATCCAACACCCAAGTGTTTATCATTTCTATACAATGAGTACATTTCAAGTCCTCTCTTCTAGGTATACAAGTGGCAAACAAACCTATGAAAAAATGCTCCACATCACTAATCATCAGATAAATGCAAATCAAAACCACAGTGAGATACGATCTCACACTAGTCAGAATGGCTATTATTAAAAAGTCAGGCCAGGCACGGTGGCTCACGCCTGTAATCCCAGCATTTCGGGAGGCCGAGGCAGCCGGATCATCTGAGGTCAGGAGTTCAAGACCAGTCTGGCCAATATGGTGAAACCTTGTCTCTACTAAAAATACAAAAATTAGCTGGACGTGGTGGTGGGCACCTGTAATCACAGATTCCTGGGAGGCTGTGGTAGGAGAACAGCTTGAGCCCAGGAGGCAGAGGTTGCAGTGAGCTGAGATCATGCCACTGCACTCCAGCCTGGATGACAGAATGAGACTCTGTCTCAAAACAAAAATAAATAATAAATAAAAAGTCAAAAACCAACAGATGCTGGCGAGGCTGCAGAGAAAAGGCAACATTTACACACTGTTGGTGGGAATGTAAATTAGTTCAGTCACTGTGGAAAGCAATTTACAGATTTCTCAAAGAACTGAAAACAGAACTACCATTCCATCCAGCAATCTCATTCCTGACTATATATCCCAAAGAAAACAAATTGTTCTATCAAAAAGACACATGTACTCTCCTGTTAACGGCAACACTATTCACGATAGCAAAGACATGGAATCGACCCAGGTGTCCATCAACAGTGGACTGGATAAAGAAAATATTCAGACAGGGAAACAGAAAGCAACCATGTTTCACAGAGGGGAATATACACCATGGAATTCTACTCAGCCATAAAAAAGGATGAAATCATGCCCTTTTCAGCATCATGGACGCAGCTGGAGGCTATTATCCTACGCAAACTAATGCAGAACAGAAAACCAAATATCCCATGTTCTCACTTATAAGTACGAGCTAAACATTGGGTACTCAGGGACATAAAAATGAGAACAACAGACACTGGGGACTACTGGAGGTGGGAGGGAGGAAGGGAAGAAAGGGTTAAAAACCTCTTAGTTACCACATTCACTACCTGGGTGGTGGGATCATTCATGACCCAAACCTCAGCATCAGAAAATGTAACCAGGAAACAAACCTGCACATGCACTTCCTGAATCTAAAATAAAAAAATCCAAATTAATCCAGTAAATTATAATAACACTTAAAAAGTAAATTTGTATATATAACCTTCCCCAAAAAGTTATCTTTTCTAGCTATTTTCAAAGATCCAATATATTGTTTACTGTAGTCAACCTACTCTGCTAAGAAACATTAGAACTTATTCCTTCTATCTATTCAGGATGGTGGGGAAAATGATAAGCCACAAACCTTCTTGGAAGGCCTGAAGATTTTTGCAAAAGTCTCAGGATAAGGTTATGGCTGAAGGCAACCTAATCCTTATTTTGAGTAAATAGCCTAAAGTGGGTACAAAGCAAGGTAGTTTACCTAACTAGCTTGTTTACTCATGTGGTCCTAAGACTAACCTTTCATCTACGGTGGGTGCTTAATTGCTTTCTACTCGGGAAGTCAGCAATGTCAATTACGCTCTAGTGGTGTTTACTCACAACCTTTGTCAATTAATCTTTACTGAATAAATTTAAGTATCACTGACTGATCAAGGCCACGGCTGCGACTAAGTGGCCCAGACGCTCAGCCAAACTGGCAAAGCAGAATATCTGTGTGTCAGTGTACTTTATTCATCCGTCGCTGGGTCAGGGTCTGCAGGACAGACCCCCACATCTATCTAACTGTATGATTTTACCCATTAACCAAGCTCTCTTCATTCCCCAGCCCTCCCACCAGCACACCCCCTTTCCAGTCTCTGGTATCTATCATTCTACTCCTCTACCTCTATGTGATCAATTTTTTAAGTGCCCACATATGAGAACATGCAGTAAGATATTTTGACCCTCTGTCTTACAGACCATGAGCCTAAGGTGCTTTAAGGATGCCTACGTGCAAGTAGCCTTGAGATAAAGCTGTCTTCCTTCTGTCTCGCTCTGCTCAGGCAACACCTCTCTCCACGCCTGAGGACCACAGTGACCCCTACTGTCTCCTTCCCACCCCCTACGCCCCCAGGTTTAAAAGGAGAGAAGTGTCTGACCCCTGTGGGCAGCCAGATGGGGAAAAACAAATAACTCTGCCAAAGGGTCCTACAGGAGCAATTCTGAGAGAGCATAAAGTCATTATTTCATTCCAACTTGAAACAAAATGAAACACCCAATATCAGTGCATCAGAGAAATGCCTGGCCTAGAAAATCCACACCATTGGAATTATTTTTCTTTCTTTTTTTCTTTTTCTCAATAATGTATCTCATTGGTAACACACCAGGAGAGAGAAACTGAATTAAGACCCTTTGTCACTCTTGGTTAATACAGCATTCTTTTTCTACTTCACAGAACTAGCAATGAAAAGAATCCCACCTGTTAGGAAACTTCTGCTATTTACCTAGTTAGCTTGTGCTCAGTGCCATAGGAAATGTAAAAGTAAATGGCAGAGACTCTGCTCCCAACATCCCTTCTTTTTTTTTTTTTTTTTTGTAGAGCCCCTTCTAATGTTAACGCATTTTAGCATTATCACAGTTACCTGAGGAAAATACTGTTTTAAAACTCGTTTTACAGATGCATAAAACCAACGACCAGAGATGTTAAATAGCACACCTGAGGGCACACAAGTAATTTACAGAAACAGTATCTGAACCCAACTATAGATACCTCAGATTCTGGGATTTCCGGCTTCATGTCCTACAGCTTCCATAATGACACATAGCAGAAGGAAGGAATGACAGCAGAATTCAGCAGAAGTTCACCTGAAGTTATTAGGAATGGGGAAAGTTGTCTTGAAAGCAGCTGAGTTTCTGTTAGCAATTGCAAGATGGGTGGGGGTTTGAATGTGCCTGAAGAGTACAGGGAGGTATATCTTAGGTACAAGAGAGAGTGAAAGCGGAGGAGGAAAGTGGATGTGGAGACCTGCGCATGGGTTGTGAACACCCTAAGTGTGGAATGCTAGAAAGCCTCCAGGGTCGTCCCTCACAGATTATGAGGACAGGGACCATGAGACTGATGTGTGCCCGAGGGGCTCTGAGGACTACAGACACCAAGGATTCTGCCCTGCTGGGAATAAGCACATTAAAATAATTCAAACAGGGATAAGGCAGGGTGCAGAGAGAAAGTCACTTTGCTGAAATGTTATTAAAACAGGTTATAGAAAAATGTTTGTCATATCCTTAAAATAACTTAATCATGTAGGTAGTTTGTAATAAACGTTCCTAGTAAAAAATTAACATGCTGCAGAGAAAGCACACGCTCCTCGGGTCACCGCTTCACTCCCCTGGGACCTGATGTAACTATCATGATCAATGTCATGTACAGCCTTCCAGATCTTCTCCTGAGGTTTTGCTAACATATTTACCCACGGATAGGAATTGGAGCATATAATGTTTTTGTCTTTGCTTCCTTACAAAATATCATACTGCATGGTTATTTAATAATGTACTTTAGCACTCAAAAATATGGCTTAGGAGTTTTTTTCAACATCTGTATTTGTAGCTTTTTTTTTTTTCCCAACTGCCTCAAAGTATTTCATGGAGAGATAACGGTTTTGTTTTGTTTGTTTTTTTGAGATGGAGTCTCGCTCTGTCACCAAGGCTGGAGTGCAATGGCACGATCTCGGTTCACTGCAACTGACGCCTCCCGGGTTCAAGTGATTCTCCTGCCTCAGCCCCCTGAGTAGCTGGGATTACAGGCGCCCAAACCACACCCAGCTAATTTTCGTATTTTTAGTAGAGACAGAGTTTCACCATGCTGGTCAGGCTTGTCTTGAACTCCTGACCTCAGGTGATCCACTCGCCTTGGCCTCCCAAAGTGCTGGGATTACAGGTGTGAGCACTGTGCCCAGTCAGAGATATAAAGTTTTATCAGCCACTTCTGTCAATGATAGACACTGGTTATTTCCAACTTTTCAGTCCTGCCAACAATGATGGGATGTGTTTCTGGGTCTCTCCGTTATACATGCATGTGCGTTTTTCTCAAGGTATTAGAAGAGGTTGACTTGAAAGGCTAGAGGGCTTACTTATTAAATAATTCAATAGATACTACCGAATAGTTACCGCACTGTAACTATGCCAATTCAACTTCCACCAGCAGACAGTAATAACCCATAATTCCCCACACCTGGCCAAGATTTGCTATTATTGGATGGTTCATGATTTTAATGGGCTTTCTGTTAACTGTTAGTGAATGTATTAGTCCATTTTCTCGCTGCTGATAAAGACATACCCGAGACTGGGCAATTTACAAAAGAAAGAGGTTTAATTAGACTTACAGTTCCACGTGGCTGAGGAGGTCTCACAATCATGGCAGAGGGCGAAAGTCACTTCTTATCTGGTGGCGACAAGACAGAAAATGACGAAGAAGCAAAACTGGAAACACCTGATAAATCCATCCGATCTCATGATGAGAGGTGACAGAATGCTGGCAGCCCTCGCAGCCCTCACTCGCTCTGAGCACCTCCTCGGCCCTGGTGCCCACTCCAGCTGCACTTGAGGAGCCCTTCAGCCCACCGCTGCACTGTGGGAGCCCCTTTCTGGACTGGCCAAGGCCGCAACCCGCTCCCTCAGCTTGCGGGGTGGTGTGGAGGGAGAGGCATGGGCGGGAACCAGGGCTGCGCGCGGCGCTTGCGGACCAGCGAGAGTTCCGGGTGGGCGTGGGCTTGGCGGGCCCCACACTCCGAGCGGCCGGCCGGCGCTGGCGGCCCCGGGCAGTGAGAGGCTTAGCACCGAGGCCAGCAGCTGCGGAGGGTGCGCCGGGTCTCCCTAGCAGTACTGGCCCACTGGCGCTGCGCTCAATTTCTCGCCGGGCCTTAGCTGCCTCCCCGCCGGGCAGCGCTCGGGACCTGCAGCCCGCCATGCCTGAGCCTTCCCCCCTCCCACCATGGGCTCCTGCGCGGCCCGAGCCTCCCCGACAAGCGCCGCCCCCTGCTCCAGGGCGCCCAGTCCCATCGACCACCCAAGGGCTGAGGAGTGCCGGCGCACGGCGCGGGACTGGGAGGCAGCTCCACCTGCGGCCCTGGTGCGGGATCCACTGGGTGAGGCCAGCTGGGCTCCTGAGTCTGGTGGGGACGTGGAGAACCTTTATGTCTAGCATTTATTGATTGTAAATACACCAATCAGCACTCTATCTAGCTCAAGGTTTGTAAACACACCAATCAGCACCCTGTGTCTAGCTCAGGGTTTGTGAATGCACCAATCTACACTCTGTATCTAGCTACTCTGGTGGGGACTTGGAGAACCTTTACGTCTAGCTCAGGGATTGTAAACGCACCAATCAGCACCCTGTCAAAACGGACCAATCAGCTCTCAGTAAAACAGACCAATCGGCTCTCCTTAAAATGGACCAATCAGCAGGATGTGGGTTGGGCCAGATGAGAGATTAAAGGCAGGCTGCGGGAGCCAGCAATGGTAACGTGTTGGGGTTCTCTTCCGCACCATGGTAGCTGTGTTCTTTTACTCTTTGCAATAAATCTTGCTGCTGCTCACTGTTTGTATCCACACTGTCTTTGTGAGCTGTAACACTCACTGCAAAGGTCTGCAGCTTCAAGCCAGCGAGACCACGAACCCACTAGCAGGAAGAAACTCTGAACACATCTGAACATCAGAAGGAACAAACTTCGGACACGCTGGCCTTTAAGAACTCTAACACTCACCATGAGGGTCTGCAACTTCATTCTTGAAGTCAGTGAGACCAAGAACCCACCAGTTCCGGACACAATGAGACTTATTCACTATCATGAGAATAGCGTGGGAAAGACCAGCCCCATGATTCAATTACCTCCCACTGGGTCCCTCCCACAACACGTAGGAATTCAGGAAGACACAATTCAAGTTGAGATTTAGGTGGAGACACAGGCAAACCATATCAGTGAGTTTCATTATATTTTCGTATTTAATGGCCATTTGCATGTCTGTTTCTATAAATTGCTGGTACATTCTTTTTTGCCGTAACAGTTATCAAACTGATGGACTAGTATTATCCTAGGGTCAGATAGTAGCTAAAACTGTTGTGATACAAAACTATGTGAGAAATGGTCTTTGTGGGAAGCAGTAAGAAGATGTCATGATGATTCATATTTGATGGGCGTTTGTTATGTGTGGAACATTCTGCAAACTGATTTATAGATGTGGGTCCCTACGTGAATTCCAACAGCAGCCTGGGGAGGGAGATGCTATGATCTTCATATTAGAGATGACAAAACTGAAGCTCAGAGATGTAAACCTACTTGTCTAGGGGCAGCGTTGGGAAGCAGTAAAAGCAGTATTAAAACCAGGGCCCTGCTCTTAACCTGCCCTGTCTGCAATGCCCTTAGCAACCTAACTGACACCAAGGGACTAGGGAATGAGCAGGGATAAAGTCTCCAATAATTATAAGAAATCAAGGAACTAGTACAAAAAGTAGCCAGGCATGGTGGTACATGCCTATAGTCCTAGCTACTTGGGAGGTTAAGGTGGGAGGATCACTTGAGCCTGGGAGGCAGAGGTTGCAGTGAGCTGAGATCATCCCGCTGCACTACAAACTGGTTGACACAGAGAGACTGTCTCAAAAAAAAAAAAAAAATTCTATCTTCTCAATGATTTTTAACTTTTATGAAGTCTTCTTAACTCTAGTTGCACGCTTTATTATAAAGATTATTTTGTCAAATATTTTTCTGGACACACAATCTTTCTTTGGTATTGTTTGCATGGTATAATTTTTTCAATCTTTATCTCTGTTTTAAGTGAATCTCCTATAAATATCATTTCATTTTAATTCAAAGGGGCATTTATTTTTGTTTAATCGTTAGATTCAGTCTCCTTATATGTAATGCAATTCTTAATATATTTGGGCTGTCAACTTATTCTGCTTTTGTTTTTCTGTGTCTTGCCTGTTTTTTCTTATTTCAAATGAGAAAATGTTTACTTACATATTTTTTCTATGAATTAGGAAATTATAAATAATGTTACCACTCTGAAGTAATTACCATAGAGATTTCAATATGGATAATTGACACATTAAATGTTGTATTTATTGAGACTTTTCTTCTGTCTCAAAAAAAAAAGAAATCATGAATTTAAGAAGCTGAAAATTTTGCGCTGGTTGCCTGATGTAACTTAAGATTCATTTTTTACTATATAGCCCAAGAGTCAGAATACACTACCAATACATACCAGGTTAAAACTTGAGTTCAAATCCTAGCTTTATTATTATCAAGCTGTGTGGCTTTAAGCAAATCACTTGCCCTCTCTGAGCCTGTTAATGCACAAATTAAATGAGAATAATTTTTGAGCTTACTAATTCTAAGGCATTTGTGCAGATGACCAAAAAAAAAAAAAACACAGAATAAAGCATTGAACATATAGCCTCGTTGTGACATGCATCATTAGTACTTGATATGGTTGGCCATGATCGTTACACATCAACAGCAGCTGAAGGGGTGTTTATGAAGCTTGCTGGGCTGCGTGCAGAAACCCACATCTGACTCGTGAGTGAAGAGAGGCTGCAGGTGAGAAGGGAATGATCCAAACACCCAGATGTCACAAAGAATTTATCATTTCTGATCCCTTTCAGCCTGAGCACCAAAATGTCATAAAATGTGAAGCTTCGTTTTTAATCTTTGCCTCCACTAACCTCACTTCGGCTTCTCCGTAATACATCAGACAGGCTTCCTTGAGAAAAGGCAGTCTATTTGCAGCCAGTCATGCCTGTCCCTCCTCGGATCCCACTTTTGTCTCACTCCTGCAAAATCTCGTGCCCTCAATTTCTAAAGCCCTAGTCATGGAAGGATTGCATGACTGGGTACATTTTGTTCTTCTCCGCCACCCATCCCACAACAAAACCTGTAAATTTCTTTCAATCCCTTTGTTCCCAAAACTAAAGGAGACTTCATATTGTAGCCTTGAAAGGTGACATTTGCAAATCAGCAAGCACCCTAGGCATAAGAGATTGCTCCGGGAGCATATGCCTCTCCCTCCATCTCATTTCTGGTCTGGGAAAAAACATGCCTCTCTCATGATCACATGCACGCACGCACACACACACACACACACACACACACACAGACTACACAGACCTCTCACTGGCCATCCCCTGCACCTATTCTCTGCCATGCTGGCCTCTGCCCATCTTCCTGTAGCACACTTTGCTTCCACATCACCAGGCATGAACTTTAATGCATATTAGCTCATTCTGGCTCACCTGGGCTTGTTTTCTTCCCAGAAAAAGTAAGCCAAGCCACCCAGGCCATGATTGATACCCTATAGGAACATTCCTTTCTTCGGACATCAAAAGTGGGAGCAGGCTAGAGAAGCCACCTCATGTCCTTTGCAGGATAATAGGGTCACCGCTGTACACCGAGTCCTCACTGTACCCACGCACGAGCTTGGGGGATGTTACAGAGATTCTTTCATTTAATATTCACCACAACCCTGTTTCACAGACAGCATATTTAGCTCACTTTCTCAGTTAACGTCGTGGTCAGTGGAGTTGGAATTTGAACTCCAGCGGGCTAACCTACATGTGTGCTGTTTAGCCACAGCCCCAGTCTTAGATCAGCTGTCTCATAAAGAGACCTTGGGATGAGAACTGGGCTTTCTCATGCCAGAATCATCAGTCACTGGCAGGGAGCCACTGTGGGGAGGGAGTAAACTCCCAGGCCCTCGAGCCTTTCTATGACCCTTCCTGGTGACAGTTGACGCAGTGGCCTGAAGGCACTCTTGATAGGAAAATAGCTGGGGCAGGCTTCAGAAGCCAAAGGGATCCAGGGAGAACTGAGTGAAGCACCAGATGTGATTCTCTCTGCAGAAGCTACTCCATTAAGGAAAGAAAAAACCATCCTGAGGTGAATCTGACAACGTAAAGCACAATTCCTAGAGGCCCTTAGCTGGTGAATACCTATGTGTCAGGAATCACAGCACCACCAAAGCATGGCGCCACCAACGCACGCCCAACACTCTGAGTCAGCTGACGCCACGTGATTCATGCTGATAAATGCCGGCACTTTCGCACTTTTGCTTGAGTAGTAAATTATTTTTAAATACAATCCCTATATGTATCCCGTATTGACACAGATGTAGAGGTATGTCTACATGCACATGCAGGCACACACCCCTGTGCAGATATCTCAGAGAGAAGCAACCTGCTCTGGATAAAGGAGGAATGAGGGTCTCATGTTAGAAGAACACCCTGCAATTCTCTTCCCCACGCCGGCCTCATTCCACTTGGTATATGTCCAATCACCCTCCTGGGACTGCTGGAATATTCCTCCTGTCTGTAGCTTCCTGATCACCTCCACTTTCCACAGGAATAATTAATTTCTGCTGTATTTCTGCCTAGAGCTTTTCAAATATGCTATTTAATTGTCTGCCTCAGGTGTTGTAAGTCACCAACACCTTGGCTCAATCCGGCCTAAAACACCAGTTTTTAGAATTGAAACAATGAGTATTGCTGCATCATAAACACCTTTAAATCTTTTTTCAGAATATTTTATAATATTTTGTTGCCTTTAGAAGGGAATATACTAGTTGGTGAAGCACAAAGCCTCACCACTTTCTACTGCCTTGTATGTGTTCTATTCATATCTTGTCATTACCTGCTCAAGGCCTGTGCACATTTAAATTTGCTGCTTCTCATGTACATATCGGTCTCACTTGTTAGGCTGAGAGTTTGGAAATAGTAAGGAGTTTTGTCCTGTTTATGCTTTATGTCCTAAGTAATAAGCACAGTGGATGAATCTCAGTAGATATTCAATAGCTTTTGTATTTGAATTTTTAAATAATTTATCAGTGATTATAATTTTATTTACTGTTTCAATTATTAGAGGTCTAGTAGCTTCTGACTGGGCTCTCTAAAATCCAGCATGTGACAAATCTTGACAATGATGAATGTGTTTCAATCCTTGCACATTATAAGTTAAAAATATTTAGTGTCTGAGTCCCCAGAATGAGCTAGACTCAGAGATCACAATTTATGCCAACCAAATTCCCAGAAACTATATAATAAACCAGGAAGGCCTTATATTCATTTGACACAAACCATATAATTTATTACAATTGCAGCAAAAGAACAAGACTGCTACTATGTCTCTTTGACTCTCACCTGAATACTTGGGTATGTGTGTTTATAAATATGAGGGTGTGCATGTGTGTATCTGTGAACATGTGTCTGTGTGTGTGTCTATATGAATGTGTTGTGGTGTGTGTGTGTGTGTGTGTGTGTGTCCAGAGGATGGGATTTGGGGATAGGAAAACAGAGATGATGGTGAATAAATATTTTAAATTTTTACTTCTATTTATATATTTCTGACTTTCTTCTTTACAAAATTATAATGCTTGCTTAGTGTAAAAAAAAGTTTATTAATAAAAACAATACTTCTTTGTCCTACAATCTAGAAAGTCTCTCTATCCCAGTTTTAGCCCATGAGCTTTGAAAGATAGAAGCTAATATCAGAATTTACTAGTAGTTTTTAGAATTGAAATAAGTATCGCTGCATCATAAACATGTTTTGTTTTGTTGAGATGGAGTTTTGCTCTTTTTTGCCCAGGCTGGAGTGCAATGGCACGATCTCAGCTCATTGCAACCTCTGCCTCCTGGGTTCAAGCAATTCTCCTGCCTCAGCCTCCCAAGTAGCTGAGATTACAGGCGCGTGCCACCACGCCCAGCTAATTTTGTATTTTTAGTAGAGATGGGGTTTCAACATGTTGGCCAGGCTGGTCTCGAACTCTTGACCTCAGGTGATCCGCCTCCGCCTCCCAAAGTGCTGGGATTACAGGCGTGAGCCACTGTGCATGGCCATAAACATTTTTAAGACATGTTTGAAGGGGTCACAAAGATGATGTTCCTGACAGCCCAAGCATATCATCTATTTTGTACATTCTGTGCACTTCTGTTTTTACAAAAGCGACAAAGCTCTTATATTGAGAGATATAACTTTTATATATGAAAATAACATTTCTGTGTCCTATATCAATAAGTCGATGTAATCTCTGTCCCATTTTTAGCACCACACAACTTTGAAGCATAAGAATCCAATATTGAAGTTTATTAGCAGGTGCTCGTATTAGAATAATACATAATGCTGCATCTTAAAACAGCTGTGAATTTTTTGTGTTGTTTTTGTGCAACGTGGTGCTCCCGAGTACAGGGAAGAAACGACCCAGACTTCTGGGGTACAGTTATCACAACACATCCCTTCCAGCTCCTCCGGATGGGGACCCCTGGGGCCGCTCTCCTCTGCCTCTGCTGACAGATCCTTCACACAGGTCTGCCCTGCCAGAGGATCGAAACTGCACCCCACGTAAAGGAGAAACTCAGAGATCAGGCAAGAGTCCCAATGTCCCCTAAGGAGGAGCTAGCAAAGTTATGTCAATTTTACATTGAATTAGCAACTTACAGAAGAACGATGTATTGGAAATAAAAGTTTGTCGAAGTTATTTAGAAATGAAAGACAGAAAACTGCATAATATAAATAATTATGTGAAAAATGTAATTAACTCTGTGGGTTTCACATGTGAAATTGTTTAAAGCCCTTTACTTTTCTCTCTCTCTCTCTGCTCTTGAGGAAGATTGTTTGATGTAGTCAATAATATCCCATGAATTCTACTCTCCTAATTTTCTATTTAATGCGATCTACCCGCTTCAGAGTTGATGCTTTTTGTTATGTTGATTCTTTCAACCAAACTCCAAAGATAAAAGGTATTTTAGTTCAAAGAAATATGAAGTTCTTCTTTTAGTAAGTGGTGTATCAATGGCATATTTTCAGACAGGCAGCATGAGAATTCAGCTCAAACTCTATTAGATGTTTCCCTATTTGTTTTCAAATCCCCATAAATCAGCCTTCGTTTTATTATTTATTCATTTTTTTTTTTGAGATGGAGTCTCGCTCTGTTGCCCAGGCAGGAGTGCAGTGGCATGATCTCCATTCACTGCAACCTCCACCTCCCGGGTTCAAGCAACTCTCCTGCCTCAGCCTCCCAAGTAGCTGGGATAGCAAGCGCCCATCACCATGCCCTACTATTTTTTTGTATTTTTAGTAGAGATGGGGTTTCAACATGTTGGCCAGGCTGGTCTCGAACTCCTGACCTCAAGTGATTCATCTGCCTTGGCCTCCCAAAGTGCTGGGATTACAGGCGTGAGCCACTGTGACTGGTCCCCATAAATCAGCCTTTGCGATCAGATCTGGTGGTGTTTGTGTGTGGAGAGAAACACATTTGCATGGGTCTACAAATGTAGGGCCTACGAAGAAGCCAAATACAGGGTAGAATTTTGCTCACAAGAATACAGGAAAATTGGCAAAAGGAAGATGAGTTCACTCAAGGTGTGTAAGTCATGGTAAGTTCAGTCCTGGTCACGTGCACTGTCACCGTGTGTTTTGTGCATTCTGTTTCCAGCACCCGCCCCACAACATTGCCTGTAGCCAACACAGCTGAGAAAGAAGGAGTTTAAGGGGCAGAGGGGGAGGGCTGGAGCCACCTTTGTCATTAACCCACCAGCCTCTTGGTCATTCCCACAGGGTGGAAACCTGAGAGGCCCAAGTTTGCTTGGCTGGAAGATGCACTAAATTTCCTTCCCCTAAATTCTGCTGAAACAGAATGTGAATCCTGTGCCCTCAGCATGCCTGGGGATCACAATTTGGTTTAAAGTGAAACAACTGTGTCCCTAAGTCCCTGAAAATCCATGCAGGGCAAGCTAAGAGTGCAGGTTTCATGCGGGGCAGGCTTGCATCCAATCCTGGTGTTGGGCCCCCTGCCTGGTGTGTCTGCTTACTAGTCCCCAGTTTTCTTATTTATATTCATAGAGTAACAACACTGAGATAGCAAACGGCACTCAACTATAGAGGTGGGGCTTGGACACAGGACCAAATTGAAGACTAGCTAACACAGGGCGGGGCTGGAAGAAGCTTTCCATAGGACATGTTCATCAGTGCGCCATGTCAGTTTACTGTTGCCATGGCAACACCTGGGCGTTACTGCCCATTTCCATGGCAATGACCTAGTGACCCGGAAGTTACCAGCCCTTTTTAAATAAATTTCTGCATAATCTGCCCCTTAATTTGCATATAATTAAAAGTGGATATAAATACGACTGCAGCACTGCCTCTGAGCTGCTGCTCTGGACGCACTGCCTGTGGGGGAGCCCTGCTCTGCAAGGATCAGTGCCTCTGCTGCTGCTGTGCACGCCGCTTCAATAAGAGCTGCTGTCTCACACCACCAGCTCACCCTTGACTTATTTCCTGGGTGAAGCCAAGAACCCTCCCAGGCTAAGCCCCAATTTCAGGGCTTGCCTGCCCTGCATCACTACTGCCAGTGTGAAGGTTAACTGTGAGCATGTCTGCAGACTTTATCCCCTGTCACTTAGGAAGTGTCCATAAATGACACCTATTACTGTTGTGGTTTGCAGAATCACCATCTGCATTTGCTTAAAGTAGTACACAATATTTAAGGCATCATTAAAAATCCTGTGCTATTTAGTCATTACTGACATCTGTAAATCTCCCGTTTCACAGACAAGTAAACTTGGGGTCCAAGTCAAAGCTGTGCAGCCAACAGTGACTATGCTGAGCTCACTTTTCTGTTCTAAAATCACACATACTGCATCAAATCAACTTCATAGGTAGGCCGAGACCCAGCTTTCCCAGCCCAACATGTCCATGTGTGTGTAAAACTGAAAAAACAAGGAGCAACAGGTGAAGAGAATACTCCTGGAAACAGCTGGAAATAAATTAATTTCCTTGAACCTCAGGGTAAACCTGAGCCCATCTTTCTCTCACCCCTCTGTCATTAGCAATTACATAGAGGCCACTTGTAAGAGCCACACAATGGTGGCTATAGCTTGGATACAAAGGGTAGGTGTGTTTTGTTTCATGCTGGCAGCATGTTTCTAACTTTCTATTGTTGAAAATGTCACACACATTCAAATGTAGAGAGAATAGTATCATAACCTCTAAAGTACCCACCATTCACCTTAAATCATTATCAACTGCTAGCCAGTGTCTTCATAGAATTTTCTCAAACCATATAATTGGCAAACGTTTGATTTGAAAACAACAAAGCAACCTTGGCAATTATATATTGGCTTGATGCAACTGCTTCATGAATTTATCTTATTCATTTGGTTTCCAAAGGCATCTGAATTTCAGAGCTTAAGACTTCTTCAGATGCTTCTTGAGATACAAGGAACGGTTCCTAGTCTTGCAGAGCCTATTATCAATTAGCTTTAAAATGTGAAAGCAAAATTAAAATAAGCTATAGACAGAGCTAACCTCTGTACTCACTGCATCACAGAAGAGAGCACCATCACTCTGCCTCAGGTAGTCCACATGGACACAGTGGAGGAGATGACCCATGCTAGGCATTAGAAGAAGCAGAGTTTTGCAGCAATCGGGAAAGGTAGAGGCTCTCAGTGAGAAAGGCTGCACTTAGCAGAGCACCGTGGGCAGAAGACATTACACAGACAGCCCTCAACTCACACAGCTCTGGTCCCAGCATTGCCAGAGTCAGGTTTCAGCAAAGAGTTCATTTTCCAAACCCTAGGATCCCCAAGATCCCTAAGGTGACTCCACTTATGGGACTGGAATCCCAGTTCTCTACTCCATCTGTAGACACAATCACCAAGTTTCGTTTGTTTTTTTTTTTTTTTTTTTGAGATGGAGTCACCCAGGCTGGAGTGCAGTGGTGCAATCTTGGCTCACTGCAACCTCTGCCTCCCGGGTTCCAGCAATTCACCTGCCTCAGCCTCCCGAGTAGCTGGGATTACAGGCATGTGCCACCATGCCTGGCTAATCTTTATATTTTTAGTAGTTTCATCACGTTGACCAGGCTGGTCTCAAACTCCCGACCTCAAGTGATCCACCCACCTTAGCCTCCAAATGTGCTAGGATTACAGGTGTGAACCACAACACCCAGCCTTACTGAATCTTACTACTTCTATCTCCTTGGCTACCTCTCAAATCTACTTCCTGATCTCTATGCCACCTCCTTAATCTGAATTCAAGCTGCAACCATCTCTTCCACAAATTATTGCAATGGCTTTCCCACAGGGCTCCCTGCCTCTACTCTTGAGCATGACAGTCTTTCCTCCCTGCTGCAGGGTGGAATATACACCTGTATCATAGCCCTCCACCCTTAGAATGAAATGTACACTCCTCTGTCTGGCTGCAGGTCTCCTCATGAACCAGCATCCAGCAGCTCCATCAGAGGTCATCTCTCCCAACATCACACTGGGAGTCTCCTGCTTTGTCTCCATTCTGAGCCTCTGCACAGGCTGTTCCCTCTGACGACCCTGCTTTTCTCTTGTCCCACACACTCCAGTCTCTGCTGACAAGTCACTGATTCTGGGCTACCCAACCTAACTCCAGCGTATGGAAGCCTCTGTGCTGTGTGCTTCTAGATCACCCTTCCTTAACACCACATTTTATCCTATTACCCATTTCACTCTGTCTTTCACTGTAGCTTGTGAGCTCTTGAAAGGAAAGGACATCTGTCCCATTCACCATGATAAGCCAGCATTAAGGGTGATGCCTTACGAGGCGATGAATGAAGACGTAAATGAATGACCACAAATCAATGTTTCTTCTATACCATATTTCCCCTCTACCCAATCCAATGACTGTTTTTGGATTTTACATTTTTCTTTTATTATTTCCAATTTTGACCCGAAAACATATCATTTCATTTTCCAGACTATGTTGAAATGTATGACTTTAACAGATTTGAAGAGCATACTCAAGGGTTCAGCTGATTTTTGGTAGATAATTATATCATTCTTTATTCATTCAACCTAGAAACTCATTTTTTTCTAAGAATGACCCCTGTTTTAGACAATCAAATTTACTTTTAAGCAAAAAACACAGAGTTTCTGGGTCATATGAATTATGTACAATTTAATTGAGATCCCATAGGAAAAAAAAAAAAACAGGAACACTAAAACCAAAATGTTAATAGTAGATGCTTCTGAGGGTGAATTGTAAAAGCAGAGAAATTTCACATCTTTTAAAACTTTCATGTTAGTATAAAAGAATCTTTAAAGATCAGGTGTTATGGTTAGTTTAAAAATCCATCAAAAAGAAAAGGCTTTGCTACTTACTGCAAAATAACATGATGCAAAGTTTTATGAAGATAAAGAAGAAAAATCCATATTAATCTCAATAGATTTAGGGAAAAAACACACAAAATTAATCATTGTTGTTATAATTCTTAGAAAACCAGAAGTCTACATTATTGATGATTTTAAAAATACCTGGAAAATGGAAGTGTTCTTAATCTGAAAGTTGGGTTTTGCAGCTACCTCCATGGACCAGGTGCCCCATGATCTGTTTCTGAACTAAAATTTTCTTTTTAAAAATGTCAAATGGTTATGAAAGAACAAGAAGAAGAAGGAGGAGGTAGAAAAGAAGAGGTGAAGGAAGTGATAAAAGAGAAGAATATGTGATAGAAATTACATGTGGCCCACAAAGTCTAACATATTTGCTACCTGGCCCTTTATGGAAAAAAAAATTTGCTGACTTCTGTGATAAAAGGTATCTACAAATAATTACATCAAGTATTATACCTAGTAGTCAGATGCCAAAATCTGTCTTCAAGAATACAGAAATGGCTTAAGCCTCCTGCTATCACCACTTCAATTCAACATTACACTAAGGGCCGGGTCAGTAAACAAAGTAAGAAAAAATATATCATTTTTTATGGCTGCATAGTATTTCATGGTGTTCATGTGCCACGTTTTCTTTATCCAGTCTATCATGGACGGGCATTTGAGTAGGTTCTAAGTATTTGCTATTGTGAACAGTGCCGCAATAAACATGCACGTGCTTGTGTCTTTATAGTAGAATGATTTATAATCCTTTGAGTATATACCCAGTAATGGGATTGGTGGATCAAATGGTATTTCTGGTTCTAGATCCTTGAGGAATCATCACACTGTCTTCCACAATGGACGTCCTTTGAAGGGACATGGATGAAGCTGGAAACCATCATTCTCAGCAAACTAACACAGGAACAGAAAACCAAACACAGCACGTTCTCACTCATAAGGGGGAGTTGAACAATGAGAACACATGGACACAGGGAGGGGAACATCACACACCAGGGCCTGTTGGGGGGTCAGGGGCTAAGGGAGGGAGAGCATTAGGAGAAATACCTAATGTAGATGACGGGTTGATGGGTGCAGCAAACCACCATGGCACATGTATACCTATGTAACAAACCTGCACATTCTGCACATGTATCCCAGAACTTAAAGTATAATTTAAAAAAAATTTTAAAAAAGAAAAAATAAAGTTTCTGTATTTTACAGAAATATATGCATGCATGTGTGTATATTATACATATACATTTATGCTATATAAAAATAATATATAAAAATATAAAAATAATATATACAAAATACATATTATATATAAAATTTTATAAAAATATTTTATATAATTAATATATAATTATATACAATTTATATATTATTTTATGTATAAAAATAATACAGCATGAATATGCGTATAAATATAAACATACATGCACACATGCATACAAATATATGAAAAATCTATAATAATCTATAGAAAAACTATTTGAATTAAAGAGTAAATTTGGCAAGTTTTCCAGTTACCAAATCAATGTAAAAAATCAATTGTTTTTTCATTTAACAGCGTTTTATATTCTACAGCAACAATGTGTTATAAATGATTTTTCAATGCTATTTACAACATAACAAAAACAAATATCTAGGAACAAAACTAAAGGAAGATATGCAAGACCTTCACAATAAAAATAGTTTAAAAATTACTCAGAGATTTTTTTAAAAATACATGAATGGATATAAAATATTCATAGCTTGGGACAATTGATAGTGCAAATAAGTAAATGTCACCAAATTGATCTATAGAGTCAATGCACACCCAATCAAAACCTCAACAAAATTTTAAATCAGAATGTATGCACTGATTCTAAAATGTATATAGAATTGTAAAAGGACAAGAATAACAAAAACCATCTTGAAGATGTAGTACAGAGTTAGGAAAAATATTCCCAGATATCAAGACTTAGTTAATGTCATACTAATTAAGACTGTGTGATACAGGTGCGGAATGAGACAAATAAACCAATGAAACCAGGCAGAGAACCCAGACGCCTACTCACACATAATGGCCACTCAGTTTATGATATTCTGTCAATGTAGAGAATTATGAAAAGGTGATTTTTAATGATAAACGGTAGAGTTTCCTAGATATTATACGAGAAAAATTAATTCCGTGCACAATAAATAAAAATAGTTGAATTGTGTAGATCTAAAGTGAATAACAAACCAATAAATGTTCTAGAAGTAAACATAAGATACTATCTTCATGCCTTTGGGATATGCGAAGATATCTTAAACAAGATACAAAAAGCAGTAACAATAAAGTTAAATAATTACAAATTTGACAATGTTAGAATCTAAAGAGAAGTCATCAAGTTGGAACAAGTACTTTCAATATACATGTATTCATCAAATATCTCATATCCAAAACATATAAAGAATTCTAAAATCAACAAGAAAATGACATAGAACACAATAAAAAAAAAGAAAGAAATGTGAATTGTCACTTCACAAAAAGTATCCAAAATGTCATATAAATACGTCCAAATGTGCATATCCTCATTAATTACCAGGACAGTGAAAATTAAAGCCTCAATGAGCTATCATCACAAATTTTACTCGATGGCTAAAATTCAAAAGCTTGACAAGGTGATGTTTTCCTAAAGATACTGAGCAAGTCTCACAGTCATAAACTGACAATAGGGATAAAATCTGTTTTGACTACTTTGGACAACTATTTTAGCAAGATCTCCTCAAGTTGAACGAATATACACCCCATGGTCAAGCAATTTCAGTGTTTGGACTATACTCAACAAAACTACATGACCACCAAGACATATGCCAGGATACCCCTAGCAGCATTATTCAGGAGATCTGCACACTGAAAACAACTCAAGTGTCTCTCAACAACAGAATGGATAATACAAGTGAGTGGATTCACACAATGATACGCTATACATAATAAAGATGAATGAATGAAGGTCACATCCAGCCACATGAAGGACTCTCCCAAATAAAATCTCCAGTATTGGACTCCACAAGGAAAATGGTTTATCCTCTGGAAATGATGGCTATCTTTAAGGAGGACGAGGCCAGTGATCACAGGGGGCTGCTGTGGCGTGTTCTGGATGTTCCTAGATGTCTGTTTCCTGACCTTAGTGGTGATGACATATGTGTGCCTCTGTCCACTTTGTGATAATTCAAGGCACGATGCACTAATGATCCCTGTGTATATGTGTGTTTATTGTTTTAAGTTTTTGAATACACAGTGATCATCAGTGAATTACACTAGGTTCAAGCAAAAGCTTAAAAATGATAAACATATTATCCACCCCATAATGCTAAAATAGTATTAAAAATAATGGAAGGAGGCCGGGCGCGGTGGCTCACGCCTGTAATCCCAGCACTTTGGGAGGCCAGAGGCGGGCAGATCACAAGGTCAGGAGATCAAGACTATCCTGGTTAACACAGTGAAACCCCGTCTCTACTAAAAATACAAAAAATCAGCCAGGTGTGGTGGCGGGCGCCTGTAGTCCCAGCTACTTGGGAGGCTGAGGCAGGAGAATGGCGTGAACCCGGGAGGTGGAGCTTGCAGTGAGCCGAGATGGCGCCACTGCACTCTAGCCTGGATGACAGAGTGAGACTCCATCTCAAAAAAATAATAATAAAATAAAATAATGGAAGGAAAAATTGCTCCCAAGCCATTTCTCTGTATCCTAGGACCACTTCATAAATGCTCAAAGTTTTGCATTATTTACTATGGAGTAATATTCTTCTAAAATAAATGTGGAGGAAAAGGAGATTCAGATAAAATCTCATGAGTCAGGAACCACATTATTTTGAAGTGCTAGTGGCAACCGTATTCTTGTCTATGAAACCTGCATGGCTTCACTCTCCAGCCTATATTTTAATGGAACAGAGAAAATTAAAATGTATTATATATTTTACCATAAGCAGCGGTTATCTATAATTATGATTATTAAATATATTCATTTTCTTGAGTGTTTGTCTCCTGAAATAATCAGATTCACAAAAATGATTCTGTTAAAGGACTACCCGATGTGTAGAAAACACATTTCGTTATTGATTCTGCAAAATGCAAATACATATTTGTTAAAATTCTGCAAAATGCAAAATGCAAATACGATTCTGCAAAATGCAGATACGTATTTGTTAAAAGGTGGCATCCAATACATTGCTAAGGACTGACAAGCAGGGTTGCTCATCAGGACACTGAAGCAACGCGTCATGACCAGTGTGAGTGATGGGGTCTCTGCAGCTGAGCCACATGACTCAGGTCATTGAGCCTGTAAGGATATAAATTTTCCATTATCCTGGAGCAAAATTAGTCACAGCCATGCCCATTCTATTCTTTTGTATTGTAAAAGTTAGTTTAGTTATTGAAAAAAGAAAAAGATGACATTTATGGAAAAGATGACTCAGCATAAATATGAAATGTTTTTCTAACAAGCTTTCACTTTTTCTAGAAAAAGAGACTTTTTCATTAGCCATAAGAAAGACACATATATCAGATATCTTAAGAATTTCATGCACAGCTGTTAAAAATTAATTGCTACTAAGGGCGTTTAGTGCAGAGAATAGTAAACATGATCTATGCAAATAATTTCACATTATACATATAGATGGTTATTTTCATTTTCCATAAACTATGAAAAATCACAATAAAAATGTCAAACTGTGGTAGGAAAAATTGGTGTTTGGGAAGCTGAGAGAGGGTGTTTATGCTTATCTTTATTAACTCATATACCTGTTTATTGTCTAAGTTACTTTGCCTATAAGCTTTCATATTCTATTTGATTTCCCCAGACTGTAAGGCATTTCCTTGTGCTCGTATCAGCTTAATCATATCTTATGGAGTTCCATTCTTGACTTCATTCACCAATGTGCTTTGCAGCGATGGAGGTTTGGTAACAAGAATTCCTCCCCATCCATCAGCAGCCACCCAAAGACCTCCTTCTCCAGTCAACTGTTCCTCACTGTCCCATCTCAAAGGGAGTCCTCCTTATAACTGCTGTTAACACAGATCATTGCACTTGGCTTTATTCATGCAGTGTAGGATAGAATGGAATTCTCAGACCAAACACTCACGCACTCTTCTCAACACATCCACATTAGAGAGGGTATGTTTGTATCCCCAGGAGCCCACAGTCTACAATTTGTGCAATGCTGTCCTGGTTTGAGTGTCCACTCGATGCTGAAACCATTATGAATATCAACACTAATAAAACTGCTGAAATAGTTAGATGTGACTTTCTTTCAAAGCAGTCTGTTATATATACCTACTGTGTAGCCATGAAAATTAAAAATATTTTTTAAAAAGCAGCCACTTAGACTATTCTAAATGCCTAAGAATATACTTGCAAAAGGAAAAGGCTAAGAGTTGAAGATACGTTCAAACTAACTAGGAAACTAAGAATGTAAAAGAGAGCAACATGATACCACTTTATGCCCATCAGTTGGGGATACTGGGCAGGATGGATTAATTCCAACAGTTAGTAAGGACGTAACATAATGGGATCCTTGCCACTGCTGGGGGCAAAATAAATCTGGCTCAGCCAGATTTCCAAAGAGCAAATTAGTGGAACCAGATTAAATTGTGAAAATAAATATATATATACATATATGTCCTTTCTCTGCAGTCCTGTTAGTGGTAAATAACCCAGGGTCATTATCACACTGGGCTGTGGGTAAACAACTGTGAGTGTTGGTGGGAAGATGGAAGCAACCGATTTCTCCATCAAGAAGGAATGGGTGTGGACATAGCC